>NC_000013.11:69923257-70074772 GCF_000001405.40 Homo sapiens
AGAAAAACAAAATTAAATATTTAAACCATGGAGTCACTGGCCCACTTTGCCAGAAGTAATTTTGTAGCTTGGTGGAGGGTGACTCTATGCTGCAATGGGGATTCAAGTATGTCTCCGTTGGAGTTGCTTAGAGGTGGTAATCTGTTTTGGAGGGCAGGTGCTAAAGTTCTTGTCTTCTTGAAATTGCAGGGAAAGCACAGAATACTACAGAGTGTCTATTACAGCTCAATCAAAAAATTACATTCTTAAGATGCTTTTATTTATACTTATTATTTTTAAAGTGCCATCTTGAATTAAAATGATTATTATTACTACTATGTTATCTTTGAGGTGATTTTAGTAGGTGCTTCTGGGAAGGAAGACACATTTATAAGAATAAAATAGTTGATGAAAAATTACAATATAAGGAGGAGAGTTAGTGAGAGACAATATAGTACTGATGAATATGGCAGTCCATCTAGAGCAGCTGCTGCGATGATGCCAGCTGCAGTGGAGGAGGTGCAGCCAGGGCTACATTTGCCATGGAAGAGGCAGAAGCCCTGCTGCCTTCTGAGTTGGCAGGGCAGGAGTTTGCACTTCCCAGGCGCAGCTGCAGCTGCCCAAGCTGCAGCTGTGGGCCCAGGCATCTCTGCACTCTTGGGGGCCTGGGAAGCCCCACCCTGCCACCACAGGCTTGAAAGTGCCTGCTCCTGCTGCCTGGCCTCTTCCTACTCCCGGCACCTGCTCTGATCTTGGAACACAGTTGAGGCTAAGCCCGAGGGCTGTTGCAATTCAGCCACGTGTGCACATGCCTGCAGCAGTGCTGACATGCCAACTCCCTGCTGCCTCGACCCCCTCTGGACCTTGGGCACCGATAAGCATGGGAGGGAGGCCAAGGAGGGAGCTTGGTGCTGGCTTGCAGGTGCTCCTCAGCACAAACAGCCTGGGCACCATTGATGACAGCAGAAAGCAGACAGGCTTTTGTGTGGAAAGGGGTAGGTACCTGGTGAAATCCCACCTTCAAGCCAGGGATGCACTGAAGCCTGAGGGCTGTGCTGATGGAACAGAATGGGAACTTACTGTGCTTTTTCCGGGCCTGCCCATGGCTGTCCATGAAGCAATCAGCATTCACTTCTTCCCCTCTGAAGCCCATAAAACCCCCCAGACTCAGCCAGACTCGAGAGTCATTTGGATGGCCAGCTGCAGAAAGGAGCTACTCACTCCAGGGTCTCACCCCTTCTGAGAGCTGAACACTCATTGGGACACCCTAGCTGCAGAGTGAAGCTACCCACAGAAAGTCTCTTCTGAGCTGTTCTATCACTTAATAAAACTCCTGTTTGTCTTGCTGACCCTCCACTGATCCACATACCTCCTTCTTCCTGGGCACGGGACAAGAACTCAGGACCCACCAAATGGTGGGGCTGAAAGCTGTAACACAAACAGAGCTGAAACACGCCCCTTGCTCATCACGTTGTGTACAACAAGAAGGAGAGAAGAGCAGCCGCCCTTTAGGGAGCCCAGACCTAAGAGCTCCCTGAGCCAGGGCTGTGACACCCTCTTTGGGGCTCTGTGATTCCTGGCATCTCCTAGCTTCCAGATACCACCATGTTCCCCAGTGCCAGCTGTGGAAGCTGTTTGTGGGACGCCTGGTCCAGCCACAGCCTTGCAGGGAGCTGGCACCTGTGCCAGCAAATAGAGCTGCTCACCCTCCTGCAGTCAGCATGTCTGGCTGTGCACAGTGGCCAGATCCCATGCTACCTCGCTCACACACTCCTTGCCACTCTGCTTTCCCTTGGCAGGCATGGGATTCAGGCTGGTAGTGCAAGCTGGGGACAGCCTCACAGGCTGAGTGGGTCCAGCAGGTTCAATCAAAACTCAGGCAAAGGCACCACCGGACACAGAGGTTTTCAGCTGGTGAAGCAACATCCCAAGTATCCCATAACAGTATTATGGTTAAAACTTCAGATTTTTTTGTCTAGTTTTCATAATTTGAATTCTAGCTCCAACACTCATTGAGCACAGTTCAGTGAGCTAATGACCTTGTCTGTGCTTCAAAATTTTAGCTGTAAAGATGCTACTTACAGCACTATTAGGATGAAAACAGTTAATATAATATATGTAAAACACTTAGAACACAGTCTGGCATATAATAATCCACTACTATAATTATTAATATTTTAGTGCAATCATGAAGAAATTGTAATTCTTTGCTTTTTCTTGCCCCTCTTTGTATTGTTAAGAAATATTATGCAGCTCTTATAAATAAGACACATATATGACAGTATCACTAATATCACATGTGAACATTGACACTGTTGAAGGATTATTTAATTTACTAGAAGAATATGACTTTGTATGATTCACCATATCTATCTGAAATTATATATTAATTTGCAGAAGACTGATAGTTGTAAATGATTTTTGCCCTCTGAAAAAAATAAACTCTAACATTTGAAGTTTTATTGCCTTATATGA
Organism: Homo sapiens; assembly: GCF_000001405.40. Classification (NCBI taxonomy): domain Eukaryota; kingdom Metazoa; phylum Chordata; class Mammalia; order Primates; family Hominidae; genus Homo; species Homo sapiens. The sequence goes on from NC_000013.11 coordinate 69,925,712, forward strand.
CATTAACTGGTTTCGTCTTTACAAGTTAATTTCAACATTATTTTTTGTAGTGACTTTAGTCTCCTTAAACTTATATTACCATCATGTTGTTACTCTCATTCATGAGATAAATATGAGATAAATAATTTAGCTTGTATACTGTGTGAGTTATGGTTTTTACTTTGCAATAGAGTCATGTTTTAACTTCTTGAAAATGTATACCTAGTTGTTAATAAGTTCACCAGCTACATTTTCACCTCATATAGCAGCATATCAACAATAATCAAATACAATACATATGCATTCACTAATTAATGTTGGACCTCCTTTCAAGTCAGTCTATATAGCAAGTTCATTCTCTTTTAACCTTGCACAATATTCTATAGTTGTAAATATTATCCCAATAAACGTTTCTAGTTTTTTATTATTAAAGTAACTTTAATCATCACAGCTGTTCGGTTTGATTTAGGGGAGATGCTCTCAAACATCCTGCAACATGTGTTTTCGTGATGTGGATTGATCTGCAGAGTCAAAGGGTGGCATATTGCCCACACCTAACCAGTCAGAAGTGCAACTGATGGGAAATTCAAGGATTATTATATAGCTTAAGTTATTTAAAAAGCATATATTAAATGCCATGACTTTAAAAAAAATAAACATTATGGGAAGACTAATTGCAAGTATGCTAATAGTTCAAGTTAGAATAAAATAATTACATCAATATACCAACAAAGCACCTGAGTATCTATAAAATAAGAACCTCGATTTCCTCATAAAACATCTCATGTCCATAGATCAGTAAACTTAACATTTTTAAGATAGTAATACTCTCTGAATTATCTGTAGACTAAATGTAATGCCTATCAAAATCCTAGCTGGCTATTTGCAGAAATTGGCAAGATAATACCAATTTCATATGAAAATATAGGGAACCAAAAATAGTCAAAATATTGGAATAAGAATGCCAAGAATTCAGGCCGGGCGCGGTAGCTCAAGCCTGTAATCCCAGCACTTTGGGAGGCTGAGGCGGGTGGATCACGAGGCCAGGAGATGGAGACCATCCTGGCAAACATGTTGAAATCCCGTCTCTACTAAAAATACAAAAAATTAGCTGGGTATGGTGGCGGGTGCCTGTAGTCCCAGTTACTTGGGAGGCTGAGGCAGGAGAATGGCGTGAACCTGGGAGGCAGAGCTTGCAGTGAGCTAAGATCACACCACTGCACTCCAGCCTGGGTGACAGAGTGAGACTCCATCTCAAAAAAAAAAAAAAAAAAAAAAAAGCAGAGAATTCACACTTCCCAATTTCAAAATTTTCACCAATTTGATTTACAGTAAAACAAGAGAATGCGGTACTGGCATAAAGACACACATAGTAATCAATGAAAAAGAATTGAGAGTCCAGAAATAAAATCTCATATTTATAGTCAATTGATCTTGGTGAAAATTCCATGGAGAAAAATGTTATTTTCAACATGTGCTGTTACACACGCAAAATGTATACATGTGTACACATGATACACACATGCAAAATAATAAAGTTACACCTTTACTTCACACCATATAAAAATTAACTCAAAGTGAATCAAAGAGCTAAATATAAGAGCCAAAGTCACAAAAGACAACATATGTGGGAATCTTTGTGACCTTGGATTGGTTAAACGTTCCTTAACTGTAACACCAAAAGCACAAGCAATAAAAGAAAAATGGATAAATCTGACAACATTGAAATTTAAAACTTTGTCCTCATTGAGAAAACACTTTCTCATCAGGAAAGTGAGAAGCGACCCACAAAATTTAAGAAAAGGTTTGCAAATCATATAGTTGATACGAGATTTATATCTAGAATATTTAAATAACTTTTACAACTAAGTAATTTTTCAAAACTCAATTAAAAATGGTCAAGAGTTCTAAGCAACATTTCTCCAAAGAGGATATATAAATGTCCAATAAATTCACAAAAATTTGCTCAGTTTCATTAGACATAGGAAAATCACAAACAAAAACCACGAAATACTATTTTACACATACTAGGATGGCTATAATCAATAAAAAACAACAAAAATTATTGGCAAGTATGTAGTTCTTCACATACTGTTGAATGGATTATGAAATGTACAGCTAGGTTGGAAAACAGTCTAGTAGTTTCTCAGAATGTTAAACATGGAGTTATTGTATAACCATATCACTCCCAGGCACATACACCCCCAAATGAAAATATTATGTTCACACAATAACTTGTATATGAATGTTCATAGCAGTCAAGCTATCCTCACAGGATTAACAAGAATGCTGGACAGAAATATAATTAAGCATTAATTAGGCTACAGTTTGGGCCATGTCCTTGTGGTTTCATAGAAAGTCACATAGCACTACATACTAACCATTGGCACCCCCATTGTTCCTATAGATAGAATTTCAGACATTAGAATCATTAGGCTTTTGTTTAAGAATTGCTTAAGATGTTTTTCAGAACCTGAATTCCAGTGGAACAGCTGATGCCAACCTGTTTGAAGACTCTCATAGAGGAAAATCATCAGCTACAGAATAGTTTCTTCATCTCCTTGTTCCATAACTTCACCTTGCAGTTTCCCGCCAATTGACAATCTCCACACTTCAGCCCACTCAAAAACTTAAACATCCGATTCCCTAACTTTTCAGGGAGACAGATTTGAGGTTTCCTCATATCTTCTCATATGTCAGCCGTATGAATAAACCTCTTTGTCTGCTGCAACCAGGTATCTCAGCATATTAACTTGCCATGGGCATTGGGCTACAAACCTATTAAAATTACAGCAGCATTATTCATAAGGGGCCCAAAGTGTAAACAACTCAAATGTCCATCAACCGATGAATGGATAAATAAAATGAGGCATATCTATACAATGCTATAGTATTTCACAATACAAATAAATAAATTACTGATACATGGTAAAACATAAATGAGTCTTGAGTATATTATGCTAAGGGAAATAAATCAAATCTCACAAAACCACATATTGTATGATTCCACTTTTATTAAATGCCCATCAATTGAATATCTATATAGATGAAGGTAGATTATTCCTAGCCTAAGGAGGTAAATGGAGAGCGAATAGGTAGAGGTATCTTGGCGAGGTGATTGAAATGTTCTACAAGTGATAGTGGTGATAGTTGCACAACTCTGAAAATACTAAAAGGCATTAAATTGTATAATTTTAATTGGTGAATTGTATGGTATATAAGTCATATCTCCACGATGTATTATAAAAGATATAAATTTGAAAGTAGAAAAATATTTATTCATTCTTCACCAATTATTGATCATCTCTTATGCTCAAATAATGTTTTGTGGGGACATAACAGTTTTATTACTTAATGACAAGACGGCACTTATCAACATTATCCAGACATGCATTTGCATTTTATAAAATTTAAGATTTAACAAGATATTTGTAGAATCATAAGCTGCAAAGAACCACAAAGGACCATTTTGGCGATCTTAAACAAACTTCATTGCTTCACAGTTAATGATAAACACATCAAGTGAGCTACTCAAAGACACCCAGTTGTATTAAACATTGTTAAAACGTCAAGCCTTCTGGTTTTCAAGAATTGAAATTATTCTGTGTTTTATCTCATTTTATATTCAAAGTAGGTATTGAAATCTCAAACGCCTTCAGTAATTGGGAAGATAATAAAAAAATTTAAATAATTGAGGTAAAAATAAGACTGTTGGTCTACAGTAAAACAGAAGAGTAAAAACATATTCAGGGTAAAATTAAAAGGGGTAGCCTAGACTTTTGGCCTGTGGTTTAAAGAAGGACTTAATAAGTTATCTAGTTTAGTCTATGTGTACCTAGTTGGAATTACTTGGATTACTTATGCCAAGATTTTGAACATGTTTTTCCTTTAATTTTGGTGGTGCTGTATCATCTCATATATTATTTTAAAATTGAACTTCAATGAATGTCATAAATTCTAGTATTTTATTAATTAAATTTTAGATCAATATTTAATGCTAAGAATATATTATGCTAGTTGTAAAATAATTTCATTATTAGTCATATTTTTGGGTTAAAACAGCAATGGCCACAAAACTATTTGCACGGGATTATGGGCTTTTCAAAATAAAATTCTGATATACATTACATTGCCTTTTCTAAATAAAACAATGGCAACTCTTGATTACCATATATACTCAGGACTTTGTTCTTTGATCAATAAAATAAATATATTTTAATAATGTTGTCTGATATTGAAGGCTACTATTGAATGAAGAATTGATGGTTGGCTGGTGTTATCCTGCTCGCTCCAGCTGATTTGGGAAGTTGGTAAATTTTTCAGCTGTTAAGATATCAGAAAAATTATTTATTTTAGGTTGGAAATAGTAGCATCACTGATTCACATCTCTTTTGCCTAGGTTTCCAAAGATGCACTTTGAGAAATTTATAGATCCTGTTGTTTAGCTTATGTTTATTAGCAAGTTTTATATGAAATAAATCACTCATATTTCTGCCTTCATGAGATAAATTAAGGTAATAATCCTCAGAGCATTTTATGATGTAAAAAATGTGAAAGAAAAAGAAAGTGCATCCATTTACTATGATGGATTTCAAGTGAATTCATCAAGGTATTTTTTATTCTAAATGTTCTAGTAAAATAATATTCTGTGCAAAGTGATGTTGCAGTCTATTGACAACTAAACCATTACAAAGTACCAAAAGCTTTTCAAATGCACACCACATCATTGGTCACTTAAAAACCAAGCTTTAGAGTACTTGAGAATAGTTGAGATTTTCAAGTTTTCAATATTTTATGACATACTCTCTGATAGTCTTGCTGAATAATTAAGAAAATACAATTTGTGAATCTCCTTCCAAAGAATACAAAACTATATCAATGCATCCTCAAATGATATTTTCCTGCACATACAACAAAGCAAACTTAACTAATAAAGGCAATATGCCATTGTTGTTTATATATTATTTACGCTTTTTCTAGTTCTGTATCAAATTTATAAAAGCATAAAATGTGAAAGTTAGTAGGATAATGATCACACAAGTGTATAATACATGATCTGTGGAAAGTGTGGATTTTTAAAACAATCCAAACTAAGGCCATTATAGAATTCATTCCTTAAAACTACAGCCTTTTTCTGATTTATATATTCAGTTAATGCTGATACAGGTGTCTATTTATGTATGTAAATTTATGCATATATGCGTTAATCAGTGACTACATATAAAAAGCCCTGATTTTAACTTCATCAATTTTCTTCTAGCTCAACTGCAATATATAATATTTACTTGTAAAACTACCTTTTACATTTCATGGTATGTACTATTACCACCTTAATTTGTTACTATCATATATTCTTACCCATATATCAGACGTCAAATTAGAAACACTACTTTATAAAATGATAATTCACTTACTCTCTTTTCAAATATAACTGCAGAGAAACTAATTTCCATCTATATATATTTGGAAACCTCTTCATGTAATTTTAATTTTAGATTCAACTAATGTGAAAATTGTCTTTAAGAAATGGTTACTATAATATCTAGCCTGAATATTTACTCAGTGTTAAATAAATCTACTAAGATTTACTATTGGTGAAATAGTTCATTTTGCTGAAAAGTGTTTGCTCTTCATTATCTTTAAGAAATCACCTATTTTGCTAATTGTAAATCACACAATTTTAATTGAGCTGAAGTTTCCCTATCATCACATTGCCCAAATTAACTTTGTCTTGCATAAAACATGACTGCTTATTGGAAATAAGCTCCCAACCTAAAGTACATTGGTCTGGCTTTGAATCCCGTTCTTTAAAGTTTTGTCCTTTTCTACTTACTATTATCCAGCAATTTTCTATTATGATGTGTTATTTTATATAATCTTCAATCATAGGAAAATATAACACATTTGGCTTAGTATTATTTCTTCCTTTAGTATGTGACCTCTTTGTTGGCTCACTAGGTTTTATATTTGTTCCTCAATAGTATGGTGATACTTCAATGAAATGAAAACTTAACTAAGGATACCATTTATTTGAAATAAACAAAAATATTGAACACAGACACTGAGTAGAAAATAAATCCATTGACACTTATTTTAACTTAAAAACAGGAACAGAAATTAGATGGGAAATTATGTTACCTGTTAAAAAGTTTTGAAATAAATAGAAAAAAGTTAATGAATTTTAATCATCATGGATGCATCTTGTTATGCATTTGTTTCTTATTAAATTTTCTAATGAGGAGGTACAATAATAAAATTAGGCACAAAAATATTTTAAATTATTGTAGGATGCAGAGAAAATATTTTACTACAAATTACTTATATTCATATTTAAGATTATGATATCTAATTGTATATTTCAAATTATTAATATGCGAAAGTACTTATTCATCTATTCTTTCTTTCAGATATCATTATTGTGTGCCTAAAATGAGACAGGTGCTATACTAAGCATTAAGAATATGGCTGTGAACTGGACAGCTGTGTGTTGCCTTATACAGTCTAGCTCTATGCATAACTGATTTTTACCTGATCAGAAAATATAAATATTTTACAACATTGGTTCATGATAGGCAAATTATTATAAAGGGGGATTTTTGTATGTATAAAAACAGATTTTTTTCTCATTAAAAAAAGCAAATTATTGATTTTATTTGTGGAAGACTGTGCTTTATAAGTTGAAACGACCCTGGAAGACCCTGACATTTCTTCCTTCTGACATATCATAAGAAGTCCTTTTAGAATCACTCTAATAATGTAAGAATGTTTCTTATCCAGAAGGGAATACTACATCTTAAATGATTGAAATCATTAAATATTTAGGCACTACTTATAAGTTTAAATGTGTGTTTACAGGATATTTTAAAATGTTTAGTATTCCTTCTTGAAACTTTGTTAGTTATATTGTTGCCACAGCATCAACTTGAGACCTATGACAGCTCTTAAAAAATTTAACCTACTGTACCTAAGATATTTTTAATATATTGTGCTTGTGTGTGTGTGTGTTGCAGCTTTATATAGCTATGTGTTATATCTTAATGTTTTAGAAATCGAAGCTCAGTAGAACAAATAGAATAAAACAAAAATATGCAAATAAGGACACTAATTTTACCAATGACTCCAATTTGTAACACGAGTACAAATTGCCTGTAAAGAATAGTGAACAAGTTCTAGGGATCTAATTTACATAATGGGTAGCAATTGATGTGTTAATTAATTTGATTTTATTAATTTGATTTTGATAACCATAAAAAAAGAGTTCTCCATCTAATTCAGGGACAAAGAATGTTAAGAAATACAAAAACAAAAACAGAGGAAGAAGAGAAATTTCCTTTGTACCCAGCCTGCCACATTTTTACTTAGTTCTTTTCAACATTAAACATCACTAGTCATTGTCCCTTAAACGTTCATTATACTCACCCTGACCTTTTCATTTCATATATACTTACAAAGACATGCTGAAAGTCAAATTTTGGTAATTTTCAACTCATCAATTATATATAACTAGTTACTAAGACCACGAAGGCATGTGAGACACTGAAAAGGAGTAACACAAAATGATAAATAAAAGAAAAAAGATAACATTAAAAATCATTTAATACTAATGTATCATGTAATAGTCTTGAGAAAAATGTAGGTGAAGTAAACTTTATTTGTATGACTTATAAAACAAGAATATTTAAAGTTACACTCCAAATATTCTTCTAAGGCAAACTCTAATTTATGGTTTATTAGCAGGGTTATTGGTCAAGATTAAAAGCATGTAGCTAGCTAGAAACCATGAAACATGTCGGGTATTTTAAAACCATGATCACAAACCACATTGATATAGTTTGTTCTTTCTATAGGTATTTTTTCCAGTGGCTCTAAAGGACAAGTGAAGGATGTATAGCATGTTTTTACTACTACCAGATTCTGAAAGGGCAGCTACTCTTACACTGACTCTGGAAGGCTTTATGCTGCAGGTATGAGTCTTCCACCCTTCAAAGCTACTTATGAACAAGGCAGCCTTTAATTAGTCTTAGTGCCACCGTCTCTGCCTCCAGCCTAAACCTAATGAAATCTTCTAAGTCATACTGGTAGCACCGGACAGAAAACAGAGAAGGGGGAAAAAAAAATACTTGAGAAAAAAAAATCACAAAGTTCTTTGGTCTTATTTCTCTTTCAGGTTCATAATATCCATTTGTCTGAAGGAATTCATATTTTGTGTCTCGGTATCAGGAATTCGACTTAATATTATGGGCAATATGTAATCACGGTATATTCATTAGCATATTGAATAGGGCATGAAATCTGTAGTGAGATAGTACTGGGTTTATTATCCCATTCTAGCATGTCTATCTATTGATCCTGAGTAAATTATTTAACAATCCTGAATCACAGTTTTATTGTTTTTAAAATGGATATAACACTTGCCTTGCAGGGATTTTGAAAGGAGTAAATTTAATATATTTAACACCTAGAATTATAGTGGCAATAGGACAATATTTTAAACTTTATGTGTGCCATCACCAGCATCATTGGTGGTAAGGCTCGCCATCAGTAAAGCTGCTGCTTATGTGCCAAGCACGATGGCAGAAGGTAGCGTTACCTCACTCTCTTTTTTATTTCTCAGTCTCCGAATATGTGGATGTGAGTATATATCACATCTTATATTACATCTTATAATTTTTCTTTGTAAAATTTACCTATATGTATACACAGACGTATACATACATACATATATAGGCATATGTAATTGTCATTTATAATGATAATTTATCATTATAAACAAATTATGTGAGTGGGTGTATACGCCTCTAGGGTATACTAATCTCTATTCTTAGTTTCTCTTCTTGCCTTCCTTTTATGTCAGTCTGATAACTCATCTTAAAATTAAACCTTTGTCCTTACTTGTTCAAAATGTTCAATGGCATATTATTATATTCCAGATAAATCCCCAGTTTTTACAAAGTCTCCATAACCCTACACAATTGGTTCTGCCTAGATCTTCAGCCTCATAAACTACCTCTCTTCTTGTCCCTCTCCACCATCCCATCTACCTTGAATTTCATTAAACAGAACAATTGCCTTCCCACTTCAGATCATTGGCAATCCATTTTCTTCTGTTATGAACATTCTTTAACCAAATCTACACCTGACTAATTCTACCTCATTTTTTACAATTCATATAAACATCATTTATTTAAGGAATCTTTTCCTGATTTATGGGAGGGTTCCCATTGCGTCTCATAATTTTTCTTTGTAAAATTTACCGTGTGTGTGTGCATGTGTATATATATATATATATATATATATATGTATATATATACATATTATCATTATAAAGTATCATTATCATTATAAAGTATTATAAAGTATACACATACACATATATAGGCATAAATAGTTATACTTTATAATGATAATTTGTTTTCATTCAATATATTAACCTTGACTCTAAGGGCAATATCATTTCTATTTTGTTCACCATTGCATTTCCTGTGCCACCTACTGGTGAACGTGGTACATAGTTGGTACTGGTGAACTTGGTACATAGTTCACCCACTGGTGAACTTGGTACATAGTTCACCTACTGGTGAACTTGGTACATAGCAGTCAATAGTCACTATACCTTCATTTATTCATTCAGTAATTAATCGTATATATGGAGATTTATCTAGGCACTTATGTTACAAAAGTTGTTTTATGTTATCAAGAAGCTACTATATTAATTGAGCAGATAGACAACAAAAACAACAATAACAAAAACAAATATATATTATAAAGCCAGGAACTAAACAAGGACTCTAAAAAATAAAAAAGGAGTGTAAGAGAATAGAGAGTTTTGAAGGTACTGGCACATAACATGGAGTTTTCAGAGAATGAGTCTCTGTAGAAGTAACATTTGACAAAGATCTGAATGAGGTAGAGAAGAAACAGATATAAATATTTGGCAGAAGAGTATTTCCATCAGAGGGAAGAAAGAACAAGCACAAGACTCCACAAGTGAAGTTATGCTTAGTGTTGTCAAAAAACAGTAAGAAGATCAGTGTGGCTAGAACTGTATGAACAGGGAAAATAATAGCAGAAAATGTGATTTTAAAAATGTCAAAGGCACACACTTGTAGTCTTGTTGAATGAGTAAATTAAAGAAAGTCCTGCAAAAGTACCCAAGAGAAACAGGGAATTGATGAATGTATTACAAGATACTAGACACTTTGATGGAACAAAAAAATTCAATGGAGAATGCTTCTTCTCTTGTCATAAAGAAATCCGCAATATATTTGTAAAGACTAGTCACAAAGAAATAAAAATAATTAATTGTATAAGAAAGTTTATGATATCACACAATCCTAAAGAAAGGAATACTAGGATTTCATTTGTGAGAGCTAATGCCATGAAAAGTTTAAAGATATTTCTTGGGCATGAATGAACTTGAACTAGAAACAGGGAGAGATTATTCAGAATTTGATAATGGATTCCAACAAGAGGAAGGTCTGAGTTAAGTAAGAGTGAAGGAACCATACAACACATATTTAGCAGGAATGAGAGCAATTGCATCTAACATTGAGGAAAAATGCCTGGGTAGCAGCTTAGAGGGTAGGTGTGGAGGACTATGTATATCAGAATATGGAGGCCTGGTGTGATGGCTCATGCCTGTAATCCCAGCACTTTGGGAGGCCAAGGCAGGTGGATGACCTAAGGTCAGGAGTTTGAGATCAGTCTGACCAACAAGGTGAAACCTCGTCTCTACTAAAAATACAAAAATTAGCCAGGTGTGGTGACAGGTGCCTGTAGTCCCAGTTACTTGGGAGTCTGGGACAGGAGAATTGCCCGAACCTGGGAGGCGGAGGTTGCAGTGAGTGGAGATTACGCCTCTGCACTCCAGCCTAGGTGACAGACAGAACGAGACTCCATCTCAAAAAAAAAAAAAAAAAAATGAAGATTGAACATGCTATGATGCTATGTTGAAGCATGTTTTGAATTTTTTTTAATTAAGAAAATAAAACACTCAATGTTCTAAGTTTAAAAGATATGAATAGAGAATTGAAGGTTTAAACAGCCATTGAAAAAACTATGAAGGTCAGGGAAGTTTCTACTGAAGATTTCAACCTTCATTTCAACATGAATTTTCTCAAAAGCACTCTGCAAAGACACTGCATTCCTCAAGAACCTCCAGAGGCCTCCCAACAATGGTGTCAGCCTGCAACAGTGGGGTAAATAGCTTTGATCACTCGCTTGTAACTTATTTTACTTTTCCATTTACCTACATATCTTCCTGCAACTGCCCGTGGAGAATAATGGCTGCTGCTTCTCTTCCAGCTTTCATATCTTACATGAATGCCTCTTATTGGCAAGATCTAACCAAAAACCATCTAGAGAAAGGATTGCTGGATAAAAATGTTCCACGTGTGTCCCCCAAAAGGCAGAGCTGACTTTGGAGGGAAGTAGCAATGATGACCAGTGGGAATTGACAACTCAGCAGGGAAGGAAAGATCTGGAGATGGAAGTTGACTCTGGACTTTCTGCCCATCTTTACCCAAAGCAGATCAATTCTAAAACTATACTTTGATATAATATTTAATTTGAACAGAGAATTGCATTAGTAAAATAAATTTAAAAACAGAATGAGAAACACTTAAAGACCACTGCTTTAAACACAAGTCCATTCTATCAAATATATGACAGTTATTGTCATGCCTTAATTTTATTCTGGCATAGGCAGCCATTTTTTCAACTTTTCTTCATATTTCATAACCACATAAAATTTACTATTCTTGTTATTCTAATCTGTTTCCGTTTGCCACTCTCTACTGCTTTTAAAATGTTATATCCAGAATTAAGCACAAATTTCATAATATAATCTAAGAGAGTACAATGAGACTATTTCCTTCAGTGCTGCTATTCTGGTGCTATCTCTATATTCATGCAGACACAGTTTACATTAATGTTTCAGAATTAATTTTACACTTCTACCTGATGCTGAGCTCGCAATCAAAATTCTCCAGTATTTTGCATGATTCATTGCCAAGCTGAGTCACCTTCCCAAAAGATTTCGGAATTATTTGCACAAATTCAGTAGCTGAAGCCAAATACATAAGTGAAATTTCCAAAGGAAAGATGACAAATAATAAAGAAGAGAAATATAGATAGCAAATTAAAGTCTGGGTAGACCAGACCTTTGGTCTTTGAAGATCAAGTTTACATCTAAAGAGTTTGGGCAAGAAATTTAAAAATTTTGAAAGTGTTCCTTATGTATTAAGCAATCAGACAAATAATTACAGTCAGGAGAGAAGTTAATTCTATCCCACGTGTAGTAGAAAAAATGGAATGATTTGCTATTAAAGCAGTTAAGGAGAAAAAAAAACACACACAATATGTTTGCTTTCAAAGCACAGATTGGGTAGATTAGATGAGAACATATGCCTGATTGGACAAGGATCAGAGGCAAATATGTGATGATAAATCACATTATCAGATGCAAAACACTCATTTTAAACTGCTGGAACTGAAGGGACAATATAGATCTGGGAAGACAACTGGTCAGTAATTTTTCTCTAAAATGGTTACCATAAACATCTATAGAATACCAGAGCATCACATTTTCAAAATAATTTGAAATCATTTAAATTTCAGCAGATATTATATATCACAGTCTAAGAAATAAATTAATTTAGAGTCATTCAGAATGTTGAGTACCTTAGAAATCTTCTATTTTTCTGTTTTAAATATATTTTCCTATGAAGCATACCTTTTAAAGTCTCTGAAGAAAAAAATTTGTTACTATTGTGCGATAAATTGCAGAATAGTCCAAGCAGCTGCAAGGAAAATATTTTCATTATTAAATTAATAATTTGCAACTAGACCAGAAGGGACCATTATCCCTCTGGATATGGAGGCATATTTTTCTTTGGCTTAGTTAAGCCAGGAGCTCCTAAAGTTAATGAAATGTGCCTAATTAAATGGTGGCAGTTGGACTTTGATATTTTGGTTGATGAATTATTTGTTTACTTTGATTTGCTATGGTTCACATAATTTCAAAGGTAGCATCGTGTCTGTCATGGAAAATTTCTAAAGAAGGATTTGCCAATAGAATTACAAATTGCATATCTTCTTCCTTTTATTTCTATATTTTCATTTAATTTAGTAATCTGCTTAAAGGATTAAAAAGGAAAAAGAAAATAATTTTGAAACTCTGTTTCAAAATGGCAATCAGAATACTTTTAAGTGGTTGACTCATTAGCAATTAGAAAAAGTGTTCAATTTGAAATAAATAGCAACCATAAAGCTTAACAATATTTATCTCATTTTAATTCTTTCTTTGAGTTGGAGACAAAAATTTCCATAAGACTTCATTAGTTGTTTCAATAATAACAATGAAGACATTAATAATATGAATAATAATATCACAGTAAAAATAGGTAGCATTGATACAGGGCGTCTATGCCAGGCACCCATGCTATTAAATGCTTTTAGAATGATTATTTCTAGGATAGGTAATATGATGGGTATGAGACTTGTAACTGGTTATTCTATCCTAGAATGGAATTAATATTTTTAAAATCCCATGCTATAAAGTACACAAATTTAAACTGTACAATTGAAATGGCTTTTAGATTCTCTACAAAGCTGTTAAATATACACACTCATATATATACATATACATACATATATATATATATATATATATATATATATATATATATACACACACACACGCACACACATACAGGGAATAAAAGGGAAAAATATAAAATAGGCTTCAATTTTTTCCATAAAATCATACTGGCATAGCCACACCAAGTACAATATGCTGTGACGGAGAGGTTTAAAAAATGCAGAAAAATGTATAAAAGGGCAGCTGTGGAAGTGAATGTACAAAGGTAGATATGCCTGGGGCAATTTTGAAAATCAGTTTAAATAACTTTATTAATATCTATCAATATGTATATCTGTATTGCCTGTTAAGTGTGCATAAAGCCATAAAGAAGCTTCCTGAATGCAACACGTGGAGGTTCCTGGAGGGTTATGTGCCCAGGGAGGGCCTGGAGCCTATGCGCCCCTCTCCTCATACCTCACCCTACACATCTCTTCATCTGTATCCTTTGCAATGTCTTTTATGATAAACCAATAAATGTAAAATAAAATAAAAAATAAATCCACAAAAGAACAATAAATCCAGTATAGAATGTGTTTTTTAAAATTAGAAAATACATTATGGTACGCTATAGTTCATAACAAAAAAATGTGCCAAGCATAGAAAACTCATTTTAAACTTAAAAAACTTGCTAATGCCATGACAGTAATTATTTTTACCTCTGATAACACAGAGTGTGTCTCCATTATTAAAACATTAAGTTTCCTTACCATTGTGTAGCTGTGGGCCACCTTCATTAACTCAATGCATCCTTGAGCATCTGCGAAGGCTCGAATTCCTAAACAGTTAGATGGATGCAAAAGCTTCATGAGGAAGTGGCAGCACACTTCCACCACCTGTGGAAGCTGAAGAAGGCACGCTGCAGCAAGAAGGTTCTCAATGGTGTCCTCTTTTAATTCCAAGCAGCCTAAACATAAGCAAAGATAATTATGAAACTCTTTTAAAAACATGAAATAATATGTATCATAACACTACACAAAACATTAGGCCAATCTGCTAGAACAGATCTAAACTGAGATTGGTAATCAAGATAAATATAACTCGGTAAAGGTCACCAATTGTTTTAAGAATTTTGCATTTCGTATTTCATGTAATATTCAAAATCACTCAGTAGATACAAATGCAGTTTCAATCAACATATCTGTATACACGTCAGCAGAAATGATAGTTCTTCCTTTGATTGTGAAATAAGGAAAATAGAAAAATAAGGTTCAGAATATATGCCTACAAACTTAGGAGAGCAGAGATTCTCTAAGTATCTGACAAGGTATATATGTGTATATGAATATAAAATATCTATTTGTGAATATTTAACATATGTATATACATTTATAAATGCATATGTTACAGGTTGGTAGTATTGTACTTAACCCACTGTACTCATGTTTAAAATTGTCTATAATTTTGGTTTTTAGTTTTTTCTTTGTTTTTGTTTCCCTGTTTGGTCATTTTATCTTAAAGGCAAAAAAAAAAAAAAAAAAAAAAGGCTCTTTAGTGCTTTAGTGTTTCCTCTGTTTTTCTAATATCCAGAATAATTTTTTTAAAGGGATCTGTTTGTCAAATGTTTATAGAACTTATCTTTGAAGTTTTATGGACTTAACTATCTGGAGTTACATTTTAATTAGTAATTCAATGAGTTAGATGATTTTATTATCATTTAGATTTACTATCTGTACCTAAGTGAGTTTTACAAGTTGTATAACTTGTATAATTGTACAATTGTATATACAATTGTATATAATTGTATAACAATGAACCTAAACTATACCCTAAAACAAATGGATTTAACAAATATTTACAGAACATTCTGCCCCTAAACTGCAGAATATATGTTCTTTTCATCAGCACAGGGAACATTCTCCAAGATAGACCAGGAACAAGTCTCAATCAATTTAAGAAAATCAAAACTGTATCAAGTATCCTCTCAGACCACAGTGGAATAAAACTCAAAATTAATTCCAAAAGGAAACCTCAAAACTATACAAATGCATGGAAGTTAATACTCTGCTCTTGAATGATCTTAGGGTCAACAATGAAATCAAGGTGGAAATTAAAAATTCTTTGATCTGAATGATAATAGTGACACAACTTATCAAAACCTGTGGTATACAGCAAAAGTGATGCTAAGAGGAAAGTTTATAGCGATAAATGCCTATAAATGCCTATATCAAAAAGTCCGAAAGAGCACAAATAGAGAATCTAGGGTCACACCTCAAGGAACTAGAGAAACAAGAACAAACCAATCCAAAACCCAACAGAAGAAAATAAATAACAAAGATCAGAGCAGAACCAAATAAAATTAAAACAAATAAACAAAAGCAATCCAAAAGATAAATGAACCAAAAAGCTGGTTCTTTGAAAAGATAAACAAAATTCTTAGATCATTAGTGAGCTTAACCAAAAAAGAAGAGAGAAGATCCAAATAAACTCAATTAGAAATGAAATGGGAGACATTACAACTGATACTACAGAAACACAAAGGATCATTCAAGGCTGCTATGAACACCTTATGTGCACAAACTAGAAAATCTAGAGATGATGAATAAATCCCTGGAAATATACAATCCCCCTAGATTAAATCAGAAAGAAATAAAAACTCTGAACAATCAAGTACTTAGATTGAAACAGTAATTAAAAAAACTCCCCCAAAATCCCAGGACCAGAGGGAGTCAAAGCTCAATTCTACCAGACATTCAAAGGAGAGTTGGTGCCAATCTTACTGAAACTATTCTAAAAGGAAAATCTTAAGAATTTTAAACCTGAGAAAATAATATCCTATTTTATTCATTTTTCTGAATCTTCTAAATTTGACTAAAGCTTGAATTGTTTCATTTATATTTTCATTTATATATATACATATTTTTTGCCTGAGTAAAGCATACATTGCAGCTTTTAATAATCAATGGCAGCCTTTAGTGCCTACATATAAGGAATGTCTTAGTTTATTGGTGAGCTTGGAAGGCAGGTTGCACTAAATTTGAAATTTGAATATAAGACTTTAGGAAAAATGTAATTTTATCTAACTCTAATTATGCTGTTATTTAATTGAAATTTAAAAGTATATTATTGCCAGTTTGTGTATATTTTTTAACTTTGTGATGTTACTACCATTTTCTCTTAGATTTCTCCTTTTCATCATGAATAGTTTTATGACATAATAAAAAGTTATCTGCTTTCAAAACTTTTGGACAGAATATTTATTAAGAAAGTCCTTTATGCATAATAACTATTTTTTCCATATCATATTTTGTTTTCTGAAATTTTTTAAACCTATAATAATTTGCAAAACCCACCCATATAACCTTCATCTGGCTTCACCCAGTGTTAACATTTTGCTATATGTATGTGTATGTGTGTATTTATGTTGTAGCTGCAAAATTACTTGAGAGCTACTTTCAGCCATCACATGTCACCCCTAAATGCTTCAGCATCTATCAGCTAAGAACAAAGGTATTCTCCAACAGAGTGGCAATATAATTATCATATATGAAATTTATATATTTGCTATGACATACACTTTCCCAAATGTTCAAATAGTTTGCTGTGTAGCTTTCTTTGATTTTTTAATTCAAGAGCTCATCAAGGATTATATGTTACATTTACTTGTGGTGTTCCTTTAGATTCCTTTTATCTAGAACTGTTCCTCTGCCATTTTTTCATCTATAAATTTATGTTGGTGAAGAATCCATACTAGTTGTTCTGCAGAATTCCTCCTTTTGGACTTATATTATTTCCCCTTTATTAGATTATGGTGAAGTTTTTTTCTTTTTTCTTTTTTGCAAGGACACCGTATAGGTGATCTTGTACCCTGCTCCATCATGATCAAGAGGCTCATGATGTCAGTGTGTCCCATTTTTGGTGGCTTTGAGTGTCATACAATGTTTTAGGCAGTATCTGACAGATTTCTTCATTTAATTTTTTTATAATTAAAGAAGAATTTGTTGGATGATAGATGGCTTTGCTTTCAAATATGACAACATGGTTAATAGATAAAAAAGACTATTATATTTTATTTATGACTTTCACTGAAAGTAAGACAGTAAAGAAATCTAAAGCATGCCTCCAAGCATAAAAGTGAGCTGATGAAGGAAAAAGAAGAGCAGATACACTGCAGAAAACAGGTTGGAAAATACAGTGATTAGAGTAATATGAAAATATGTTTATTATATATTAAAATATAGATTTGAATGATTTTAAGACTGATTACATGAGTACTATTGATATATATTTTAAGGTTTGTGAAATACCATAGCAAGCATGAGCAAAAAGTATTCTATAGGTTACAGAAACCTATATTTGTATATCAATTTTTGTTTCTTTTTGAAATGTGTATCTGCTGTTATAAAAATAAAGTTAAAATAGAGAAAATAATACAAACACATTAAAATCTGTTATTAATTTTAAACTGATTATAACACTTTTTTATTCATATATACCCTTCAACATATTGTTTTGACTTAAAACTTCAGAGGAATTTTACCTAAATTGTTCAGTAAAGTTGTCAAGAAGACGGTTGCATGCTTCTTAGCATAGATCTTGAGAGAAAATCAGACGGAAGACCTACATGCTGATGGCATGGTTTCTATTGACTTCATTTTACTGTGATTTTAGAATATTGGGAAGGTGACTTCCTGTAATCTAATTAACTATTTCTCTCAATATAATTTATGCAGAAAAGAATGAGCACAGCAGACCTGAACTACTACCATCCTCTGAAAGGCCTGCTTTCAAGGTTTGTTCCAGCTGGTATTTGAGAACTTAGATTTCAAGAGGATTCTCATCATTAACTGATAAAATCGACTCACTGTGCCTAAACTGTACAAACAATATGGTATATGAGCAACACCTTTTTTCCCTTCTGGGAGTCTGAAATTTTGTTCTGTGTTAGATGCAGGCCTATGCGATCAACACCTAATAAAACTCCAGGCACTGAATCTCTAGTGAGCTTCCTTGGTTGACATTTCACACACTTTGTCACAACTTATTGAAGGTAAAATTAAGTATCTTCAGTGGGACTCCACTGGAAGGGAACCCTTGGAAGTCTGTACCTGGTTTCATTTGGCCTTCGCCCCATAGGTAGTTTACCTTTTCTGATTGTGTTATGTATTATTTTGCCGTAACAATTCATAGCCATTTGTAAAACTACATGCTGAGTCTTGTGAAGTATCCCAGTTCATCACTGAACGGGGCGTTAGTCTTGGGGATCACCCAACATAGCATTCTAATCAGAAGTCCTGAGATGGTAGGGGAATGTAGAGACATGCTGTGCTTAGAAGCTCAAAGATCAATATTGCTAAGATTTCATTTCACACCAAATTAATCTATAGATGTACTACAATAACATTTAGAATCCCAGTAGACTTTCTGTGAAAATTGCAAAACTGATTATAAAATTCATATGGAAATACACGGACCTATATAATCCAAACAATTCTGAAAAATAACAAAGTGAGAATAAGAGCACTACCTGATTTTAAGACTGATTACAAAGTTCATGCAAAGGCACAAAAGTCATTTGAGAAAAGATTGTCTTTGAATGAGTCAGATATGTGTACAAAAACTTGTATTTGATGTATACCCCAAATGATATACAAAATTTACTCAAAATGGATCACGAAGCTAAATTCAAACATTAAACTATAAAACTTCTTTTTTTTTTTTTTTTTTTTTTTTTCAGATGGAGTCTCACTTTGTCGCCCAGGCTGGAGTGCAGTGGCGCCATCTTGGATCACTGCAACCTCCACCTCCCGGGTTCAAGTGATTCTCCTGCCTCAGCCTCCCAGGTAGCTGGGATTACAGTCACCCGCCACCACGCCCAGCTAATTTTTTGTATGTTTAGAACAGACGGGGTTTCACCATGTTGGCCAGGCTGGTCTCAAACTCCTGACCTGTCTTGGCCTCCCAAAGTGCTGGGATTACATGCGTGAGCCACTGCACCCGGCAGCTATAAAACTTCCATAACCAAACTTTGTTAATTAAAAATTTATTTGATAAAATATCAAAAACATAATTTCTCAAAGAACAAATGGAGAAACTAGACTTCATATAATTCCCTGCAAGACTGAGCTAAGATCATGCCACTGCACTCCAGCCTGAGTGACAGAATGAGACCCTGCCTCTAGTTAAAAGAAAGAAAAAAAAAAAGCCACTGTAAGATATATTATTAAAGGAATAAAAAGATGAACCATAAACCAGGAAAAAAGTTTGCAAATCATATCTGATAAAATATTATATACGGAATATATAAAGAATTTTCGAACTAAATTTTTAAAAAACTGGGCAAATGATTTATACAGACATCCCACAAAAGAAAATATATGAACAAAAAATGCTCAATATTATCAGTGCTTCAGAAAATGCACATTACAAACACAATGACATGCCACAACACCTCTATTAGAACTGCTTGTGGAAATGTGAAATGGTACAACTACTTTAGAAAACAATTCTGCAGTTTTATCTCTCCTATGATTCAGCCATTCTGCTCCTAGATGTTTGCTCAAGAGTAAAGGAAGAATATGCTGATACAAAGTCTGTACATGAATGTTTGCAGAAAATTTATTTTGCAATGGCCAAGAACTGGAAAGAACTAAAATGTTACATGACAGGTAAATAAATAAACAAAATTAGAGTATGCTTATTCAATGGAATACTTCATAATAATAAAAATAAAATAATTATTGATTATGAAATACCATGGTTACTTATGTTGAGTGCAAGATAATTAGGCTGAGTGAAAGAAACCAGACAGAAAATAAACACAGACTCTATGATTAACTTCAAAATTCTTGAAAATCCCAAAAAATCTGGTATGTAAGGAGTCAGATCACTGATGCTTATGTACTAGGTGGGGATAAGGAAGAACAACAAGATAGATTGCAAAAGGACATGAGAAAACATTTGACGATTATAGATATATTCATTACTTTGTGGTGAGTATATACATAAGCCAAACTTATCAAATTATACATTTTGTATATGTGCAGTTTATTATATCTTGATTATTCATCAATAAAGCTTTAAAAAAGAATACTCAACTGTATTTTCAAAATATATTTAATAAATGATTTGAGTTGACAAGTAGATAGAAACATTTTCTGAGTGCTTAAATGCAAAGAAAAATCAAACAAATATATGATATTATAATTTACATTGAGGATTGTGATTTTTTTTCTTCTTTGTTCTCCTTTTTTTTCTTTTTGAGACAAGGTCTTATTCTGTCATCTGGGCTGAAGGGCAGTGGCATGATCCTAGCTCACTGCATGCTTGAACTCCTGGGCTCAAGTTATCCTCTTGCCTCAGCCTCCCACGTAGGTGAGATTACAGGCATGCACCACTAGGTTCAGCTATTTATTTTTATTTTTGTAGCAATTAGGTGTTGCTATGTTGCCCAGGCTAGTCTAGAACTCCTGGCCCCAAGCCATCCTCTTGCTCTGGACTCCCAAATTGTTGTGATTTACAGGCATGAGCTACCATGCCTGGCCAATAATTTTTCTGAATGTTTGCAATATATAAAACATGATTATAGTCATGACAAGTCACATATGGTATTATTAGGTTGGTACAAAAGTAATTGTGGGTTTTGTCATTACTTTCAATGGGAAAATTGCAATTACTTTTGTACCAACTTATCATATGAAAAACATATTTTTAATATCTTAAAAACTTGAGCCTGCCATACAAAATTGTGTGTGTGTGTTGTGTGTGTGTGTGTGTGTGTGTGTGTGTGTGTGTGTGTGTGTGTGAAGATCTTCTTCCTATTCCGTCACTGTGGCTAATTCTTGTGTGTTTCCATCACCCCTTGTGAACATTCTGAACCCTGTTGATATCTCTATTATACTCTCTTCCTTTAAGCTCTTTCAGTGTTTCATTTGTTTTCTGCTGGGACTCTGACTGATAAAGTGAATATTGGATGTGGACAGTGAGGAATAAAATCCCAGAGGATTCCACATAGTTTGGCTTGGGTGTTCAGGCAAATGGTGTATAATTGACCATTTATATTGGAAAAGTATATTACTATATTTCTTTATATGTGTGTGTATTTTTACTTCCCAGATCAACACTTGAAAAAAGATCCAGAGGCAGTATGTCAATGTAATAACTTACAGGGTTTTTACGACATTTTCTTGAAACATATTTATTCAGTCTAAATTCAAACCCTTGATAATAATACACTTCATAATAATTTAGACAGATTTTTTTTCAGATCATCTCTCAATTATTTCCCCAAAAAAGAAAAAAAAAGAATTTTCACAAGATATATGTAGAATAATATTTTTATTTATTGCTAGCTTTGGAGGTTAAGTATTATAACCATTGTTTTTCTCAAAGAGTTTTAATATTTTATTTTCTAAAACTTGGACTATATCCAATGAAAGAATCCATTTGTTAAAGCCAGAAGTCACAAATGGAATATTAGCCAGTGTCAAGCTTCAATGCACACAAATTAAGCTACCTCATGCATGCTGTATTTCTCGGCCAGACCTAGATGTAAAAAGGCAAAAAGCAGCCAAGTATTTGACTTAAAAGTTAACTTTTAAAAAAGCATGAAAACTGCTAATGGAAAGAAAAGTAATTCTACATTTTCATTCACAGTTGATTTCAAGGCATAACGTTCTCAAATAAGCTTACTAAAAGGGAAAACCTACATGTTTTTAGTTAGATGCCATAGAAAACTGGCTTAAAAATACATGATAGCCATATTAAACTTGATATACGTAAGAAGTCAATGTTTCTAACAAAAGACAACTTTTAGAGATTGTTTTCAAAAAAAAATGAAATGTTTATAATCTCTCTTAGCAAGTCCAGAGGAACTTTGTCTCCAGAGTTAATTAATGAGACGGTCAACACATCATAAGGAAACAGGCATCTCAAGTGACTTCCTCAATTTCTCTCATAGTTGCCATAGTTTCAGGTTTCAGATTCAGACAGGAAAGCACGTAGCAGAAGAGTAACTATTTCTTTATGTATATATCTCTTACATCAGTGAAGAAACTTTTACCAAAGAATCCCCAGAAATTTTTCTCCATGCTGCCTTGGCAAAAATTGTGTCACATAATCATGCCTAACTCTATCATTATGAAAGGGGTGAAACACAAATAATTGGTTTTGATCCTATAAACTGCTTATAAAATTGGAGTCACCCTCCTCTGATTCAAGTGGGGGACTAAACGGGGAATACTTTTTAAATAGGGTTCCAATAAGGTGTGCTACATTTATCTACAATCACATCTTAAGTAAATGCTAAGGCCACTAAATCTTCCAAATATGTATGAGTAGACTTAAACTCTGTTTTTCTATAAGATATTTGAATTTATACTGCATTGACATAAAAATATGTAAAATAGAATGGGAAGGAAAAAGTGAAGTTTATAGAAGAATATGTATCAATGTGGTTCTATTTCTTATTAGACACATCATCCCCTATTAACAAATGCACAGAGTATCCATCTTTCATCTACAAAGTCTGTTATATTGAAAATGTATATTTCCAAAGGTATTGTTTTAGGAATGTGCATTCTACCAGAAAAGTGCAAAAACTGCCTATAAAATTCACAACGTAAATCAAATTTTATCTATCATCATTCTGTTAAATTGAAGAAGAAACAATATCAATGTCACTCTAGAAATTCAAACCTCAAAATTGACATTTTTAGTAACTCATAGGTATTTTAAAAATATAGTTTTATATGAAAATACTTCTAGATTTACAGAAAATTGCAAAGCTAGTACAGCGATTTTCCATATGACATATAACTGTTTCCCCCATTATTAACATCTTACATTCGTATGATATACGTGTTATATTAATGAACAAATATTGTTACATTATTATTAACTAAAATGTGTACTTCCTTTACATTCCTTAGATTTTTTTTTCTTTTCTTACCTAATGTCCTTTTTCTGTTCCAGGATCGCATTCAGAATAGTACATCTCATTTACTCATTCTGTCTCTTTAGGCAACTCTAGGCTGCGGAAGTTTTCAGACTTTCCTTTTTTTAATGATTTTGACAGTTTTGAGGAGTACTAATTTAATATTTCATAAAATGTTCTTCGATTGATATTTTGCTGATTATTAGACTGGGGTTATGAATGAAGTTTCTGTCTCATCCCATGCTATTTAAGAAACATTATCAACGTGACTTATCACTGGTGATAGTCATCTTGATCACGTGCGGAGGTAGTGTATGTCAGGTTTCTCCACTGTAATGTTATTCTTTAGTACCTTTACATACTGTACTCTCTGGAAGAAAGTCCCTATGCACAGCCTACACTTACGGAGGGGGGAGTTGTACTCTATCTCCATGACGGTGGAATAACTGGCATAAATACTTTTGAATTCTTCTATGTGGGAAATTTGTCTATTCTCCATCATTTATTGGTGTATTCAATTATTTATATCAGTCATTTCACAGGATTTTTTGAATAAATGTTTCAAAAAAGGAAGGAGAGTTAAAGGGATTTTAGTTTAGGCAATTTACACATATTTTTAACAGTTAACAATGACATTTAAATTTTACTGCAATTTAGAATTTTGCTGTCAAAATTATTCCTTATTGCAAATTTGTACCTCTTTATTGGCACTCTGGCCTCCTCTCTCTCTTGTCAGAGAGAAAATCCTAGTTGTCTTCTAAAAATTACCGCAAAATGATTTTAGAAAACAGAATACAAATTCTACCCATGAAATTCTATAATCCTAGAGCTAATTAATCTGTAAACCATGTCATACATGCCTTCCACCCACAAGAAAGACATGGTTATGTTTTTTGAGTACTAATTACATCTCAGAGTTCAAGAGAAACTGTTAGAAAAGTCAGAAAAGGCTATGCAAAGAGCAGTTCAAAAGTAGCTGCGACAATACAAGTCATTATTCGTTCTATTTCTGTCCACCTTATACCTATAAAAGTCCACTGCATGATAGGTAAGAATTAAACATGCCAGTAGCTCAAATTTACTTAAATTTCTTTAAAGCTACTCTAATTACATATCCATCATTTGAAGAGAACAAGGAATTGTTTTCAGAGTAAAAGCAACATTCCCTTGACTCACATCGATGCACAGGTGTTAAGCTCCCTCAACTTTAACAATAGAGAACATGTCTTATCTTCAAATTTATTATAGTTTATGACTCTGTCCCTAATCAACTCCATAGATTTTTTCCACTCTCACTAATTTCCATGGAGTTTAACCTAAAACAGCATGTCATGCAACACTCGAGGAAATTTTGATTGTAAGAACAGTGAAAAAATAATGATTAACTCATGGTCGTAGAAGTTATTTAAATCTTCACTTAAGTAACATAATTTGTCTATCTAAGCACCAGACTTATCACAGATATGTTCTTTTGGTCATTATTTTAATTTAGGATACCTTTATGTAGAACATATACTCTTGAATTCGGCAGAGATAATTCAATTCCCTTTAAAATAATTGTACCTTGAACCCAGTTGAGTTTGATTTTCAGATTTAAATATTCTGTTGCTTAATGCATGAAATTATTAGAGACTTGTGCTCCTGGACAAAATAATTTGAACTTGAATCAGCCCACAGAAGCAACAGTTCTATAATTCGTTGTTATATCCACTTTTGGCTAAATACTGAAGATGTCTAAAGCAGCTTGTATAGTGTTATATGTATATTTAAAATATTTTGAATACTCAAATGAAATATTTGTCTCAGATTTTAATATATCAACACCTGTGTTTATGGTGAGGAAAATGTTTGCCTTTAGTTTATAATATAACTGATTATGCTTACCTCTTTGTCTTGTTGACTGAGAAGAAAAACTAATTGGTATGTCATTTCTATGAATACAAACAGAGTTTTAAGACATTACTTATTGTGAAAATTACACCATAATTGTTTTGATTTGAATTTGAATGCCTTTCCCAGTATTTTTTGACTTACAAAGCCTTATACACCATGGATATTTAGAAATAAAACTAAGACAAAAGCCATAACTTGGCTTATGCAAGTGGCTTATTTTTTCTTTCCTTTATATTCTACATCATCAGGAAACTAGAAGGGAGATAGAAAGTGGTAAGTATAAAAGAAGGCAACTTCTACTGGCCAGATTTTCGCAAGTTAGTAGGAACATGTTTCTGTAGAACCAGGTTATACTGAAGTTATCTGCAGAGCTCTTCCGTCTTGAGATGCTTAAATATTTTATTCAGTGACTTTGGTGGATTTGATGTGGAAAGAAAAATGTTGGCAGTTTTAATAGTTTATCTCACATTCTGCCCAGATTGGGAGTTCTACCATCCTACCCTCTGTGAGGCCACCATACCCACTTCCTCTTTATTCTTGAGGTTCTGTGTTGACAAAGATTTTGTATTTTTGTTTAACAGGTAATTTTTTATGATGCTCTATCTTGGTTTCCAAAATATGCTTCATATGTTACCTCCTTACCTTGCTGCTACCATTATGGGTCATTTTTAAAGATCACCACTTTTATTTTCTGACTGCGAACATTCATGCCTTTCTTGAAATCTTCACATCTCATAATCCATATTTAAAATCAATATTTCTTAGCCCCAGTGAACTGTAAGTGCAATAGTTACAGAGTGCTGCCGAGGGAGCATACAGATACAGAATTTCTGATAAGTATGCAATTCTTTCTGAAAACACTATCCGAGCACATTGAGTTATGTCATAGATTATGTGACTGTTATTTCCCCTCTTGGATAGTGCACTTTGAAGCCATCTTAAGATGTGGAAAACTTAAGTTAAATAAATGTAAGCAAGGGGGTTTGATTACAAGGTTCTAAATATGTTTTGTTTAACTGAATCTGGCAAATAAAATAGTAATTTGTAAAAATGATTCAAAAATGTCCTATTACATCGTTTTTGAATTAGTCAAATTTGTCAGTTAATCAAAAATGCTCATTAATCAGAAAGCAGAGTGCATAGCCCAGGAAAACACATGAAAATAATCAATGGCATATGTTTCCAAGTAGTATTTACGTTTTTCAGGCATGGATCTATCAGGAATAAACTTATATTTTAGACAAATGCAAAATAGTTTTTACATTTTTTCTTGTAAGACTGAATCCCATTACCAGTCTTTAGAATTTCTTTATTAACTTTTATTCTGCATTATCCTCTCCTCTCACCACACCTAAACATTCCTTTAGAGAAGAAAATATGGGGTAGGACAGGTTCATCAGACTCATGTAAGTGCCATTTGGCTAGGACATTTTCTCTGGTTGAGTATTGTGACAGGAGTGAAATAATAGCCATAATATGCAGAGATGAAAACTCAAGTTCACAATCCAAAGGAATCAGTGATCAAGGTATTCCTTCAGAACATCTTCAGCATGCAGTTTACTTCCAGCTAACATGTGTTTTCCTGGTTGGATTGCACTTAGCATCCTTCAACTGAGGGAGACAAAGTGTTTAAAATTAAAGTGCTTCGTGTTCCCATTATAAGTGTCCTTTCCCAAGCATAATGGGAAAATGGACTCTTCATTAAAAATGGCTAAGTGGTAATTTACAGAAGTCTTAAGAAGGGTGAAATGACAGGGTTGTTTTGCTTGTTTATATTTGCTTGTTTTCCCCCCATACTATCAGCAAATCATATCATCTCTACCAAATTTTAAATGGAAGATATTAACAAATAGTCAAAACTGAAGTAAAATAATGTTTTCAAAGATGGTTATTATTTAAAAACATTTAGGAAATTGGTGCTTTAGTTGATTCACTTGTAAGATAAAGTTGAATACTGTGAGGCATAGCTAAGATTTGCATGGAAAGTTCTTGAAAATGTTAATAATTGAATGTTGTAATATTTTTATGATTCTTCTTCAGATTAATATAATAAAATAAAATTAGACTTAAAATTATGAAATTATGAATGCGCAAGTCTGAGGATAACATTTTAAATAGTGCTAAGAAGCATCAATGACAATTCTCCATTTGGGTATCATCTATGTAACTTCCTCAGGCTACTCATTTGATGTACAACAATATTAATTGTAAGAAAAAAATATATGATGCCAGTTGTTACTACGTCAATGGAAGGTCATGCTTTTCACTCAATGTGACAATGACATAAGTAATTATGAGCAGCGCTGCCTCTCATATTAAGCAGACAGAATGTTGAATAACTCTAGATCTAGTAGAAAAGATGTCAAAATGTCCATGGAAAAATTAGGCCATGATTTTACATCTTATAATAATTTTGTTGACATGTAAGCTAAGATGCCATTTCTGTATCTGACAATATGATATTGACTACCTACCTATCTCAGAATGTTGCTGTAAGGACCAATTAAGATAAAATATGATAAAATCATGAATATACAATAAAAATCCATCTCAAATACACAAGGTAGCAAAATTACAAGCTAGTTGTTTAAAAAATTCACCATTATACATGTATACCAAATCATACATCTGAATTAAAAAACATATAATGCTGAAACATATAATAAATTGGACTCAAAATTAATAAATGATTGATAAGCAAAGTGAATATCCTCTCCCAGTTCTCAGATGTTACTTTTATTCTTATGAAGGATTGTGAAAAAGATTTGAAAAAACTTATAAAATCACACATTATGAATAATCATCATAATTGAGTGTTTGCTGCATGCTAAACTTTATGCTAAACTAGCTTAATTTTATAAGTTTGCTCCTTAAAATAACCCTCTCACTTAAAGACTATTATTTTCCCTTTTTACATTTAAGGAATATTAAGACTTCATAAAGTTAAGTAATTTGACCAAGATCCATAACTGTAAAATGGAGAAGCCCAAGAGATATTTCAAGTACTTAATGAGAAGCAAGAAATAGGTGCATGCCAATTAGAATAAATGTCCAAGGATCAGAATGAACACTGGGCTGCCCACATCACACTGAGTGGTAGTTGCATATCAATTCAAGTGAAGGCCAAAATAAGTCCTGGATATCTAGTGTTAAGTTCTACACACTACACTTACAAATACAAAGGAATAAAGTGTATAAGTATTTTGAAAGTACAGGTGGAAAAAGCCTAAGAAAATATAGTGAACCTTATGATTAAAGTAGGAAAATACATAGCAGGTACCCTGAACACTTGGAAAAATGGTGATTGAATTCAATTCAATGATTCAATTCTTAGCTTCTCACAAAGTAAAGGAAAATGAAAACAATTATAAGACTGAGAGCAACAATAAAATAAAATCCAAACAGATTGTTTAAGGAAGTAAAGTTGATTATGGGACTCAAGAGATTTTTCTTACTTCAAAACCCAGAAAATAACTGTGACTTACACTGTGGTAGATACATAACCCTTACTCCTAAATATTAAAAGTCACCTAGCTATTTCTTTTGCAGTCTCTCTATTAAGCCCCATGGCACAAAGCCAAAACACTGTTCAATAACAACAACAAAAAGCTTCATAACAGTCACAAAATTGAAATAGTTTTTATTGTCTATTTTGGCACAATACTTTTCCCAAATTAGTTTCATACGATAGTACTAAATGTTTTACACACACACACACACACATTTTAAACATATATATGCATAAATGAAACAAGGTTTCTTGCTAAAATGATGGAAAGGTAAGGATTTAATTGTGATATAAAAATTATATTATTGATTTTATTTTTATTACTTTTATTTTGTTACTGAATATACAGGTTGTTTAAACACCCTCTGAAAATTGCTTAAATCAACACTTTTAAATAATGGGCAATAATAATACATAAAACCAGTCTTTGAAGGCTCAGTCTCTTAAATCAAGAATAGAATTTTCCATCTAGTAAAAGCCTTAAGTTTAAAACTAATAATGTACTAATGTGCTTGCATAATTCATGCCACTTGAATTAAACCAGTAATAAAAATGAAACAATAATTTACTTCTAATTACAATAAAAATTCTGAAGAGAGTTTAAATGGTAAGCTCCAGGCTGATATACACTTTTTAATATTAAAGCAGGACATTAAACATCTCAGCCCCTATGTGTGTATATTTATTTCATTCAAATGTTTGGCAGTAAGCAGAAGCTATCTTAACATTTCTTAGCAGGTACAAAGACTTTAATTAACTTCAGTGGCACACAAACTTTTTCTACAAGGAAGTTAACACTTCAATATGATTAAAGGTCTGCCATTTGGCAGTTTAATTTCCTAACCCTCTTCTTAATATCACTACTAGATTGACAGCTTCCTTTATTTAAACCTTGTGCTTATCAGTTCTCTACAGGACCTGACACTTTGTTAGTAACTCTGCAATTCCATCTCCCATATTTGTTAGAACTCTATTTTCTTACACATCAATGAACACAGTGTATTTTCAAGTATGTCAGGATAGTAGAGACTATGTAAGAGATAAACTAGGAGGAAATTTCTATCAGTCTAAGAGCAACTTTAAAATATAGTGAACCTCAGTGCATCCTTTCCAAATATATTATAGTTTTTCTTTTCCTTTCAAAATGTGAGCATCCATTTTTGGCTGTGATTGAAATCCTAATGTGTGTGCAAGTGGATTCAAAATCAATATTTGCTGTTATCAAAAATTGTTTTGCTCCATTTTTAAATGAGAAAATACTAGCATATATATATTTATATATATATTTGATATATTTATATATATTTGATATATATATTTATATATATTTGATATATATTTATATATATATTTGATATTTATATATTTGATATATATTTATATATTTATTTGATATATATTTATATATATTTGATATATATTTATATATATTTATATATATTTGATATATATATTTATATATTTATTTGATATATATATTTTTATATATTTGATATATATATTTATATTTGATATATATATTTGATATATATGATATATATATTTATATATATTTGATATATATATTTATTATATATCTGATATATATATAAAACAAAAATGTTTAAACCAAAATAAGATAACAAAAAGTTGTATTTAGTGCTAAATTTGAAGACCCTTAAAGGTAAGGAACATGTATAATTCAGCATATTGTTTTTCAGACCCCATCATAAGGCATAGTACATAGTAGACATACATATAGTAAAACTTGAGAGTTGCTCAATGCATTCACAGGACAAAGACCATTAGGCATTAATATGCTTAAATTGTGAGGCACCATTGACACCTAAAGGGAACCAGCATTAGATGGGGAGAAACTATGAACCAAACCTGCACTGAACCACTATATAGCAATATGATAGTCAGTTTAAGCTACTCAAACTATTTTGAGAGCAAGACAGCGATGAGTCACTTCAAGGAACTCGTATCATAACTGATACCCTATAAAAGTACACAAATCTGGTAAAGACAATACCAGTCAATTTAAGTTCTGATGTTCCTATTCCAGTAACAGAGTCAACAGCTTACTATTGATCATTTCAAGGTTACTTTTACCTCATTGATTGGGCAGCATTAAGAAATTTAGAGGCTTTGAATATATAACTGTGTCCTCATATTAATTTAAAACAGACCAACACATTTGTGATCTATCTCAAGAAGATTTTACAAATGCTTATTTGAAATATGAAATATGTAATTTTCAAAAAATATTTTGGTGTTTCTGCTTTGCACATGCTTAGCATAGAAAACGTTCGTCTGTAAAATGTATAATGTTCAGGATGGAATATCTGAAGTTCTAGACATTGCTACTTCTCGAGGTGATTTGAACATAGAGTGATAAGATATTGTATGACCTAATTATCTTTTCATCTCTGACCTCATGCTTCTGAGGATGACGCATGCAATAACTCCTGAATAACTTTAACTTCACCCTGCCAAATCAAAGGCTTATTGAAGATTAAATGATAATATCTCAGTTTTCATTTCTATTCAAACTAATAGAAAAATGGAAGTACAGAATAGGAGCTGCATTAGGTACAGGAAAATGCTCACGAAACTGTTTTTAAGTCAATTTGACACATCTAAACTGAGAATGCCAACAAGTAGATAGTGATACATAGATTTTACTACTTTTAAAAACAAAAGTAAAGGGCTTTTGCATTATGCCCTGCTCCACATAATCCTGTGCGTTGCCAAATTTGTTTAAAGGCTTATGACATTTTAAGCTGTATTCTATCAGTTTTCTATACAGATGGTTCCTGACTTATCAGGATTTGACTTTCAATTTTTGGTCATTATGATGGCATGAAAGTGATATGCATTCGCTATATTCCTTGATTTACAACGAGGATAGCACATCCAGATAAATCCATTGTAAGCTAAGGAGCATCGACATATATAGTTTACATTGTGTCTTTTTCTAATATACACCGTGACCCTCTTCATGCCATAAGTGCTCAAATATTGTTAGCAGAATTATGATTTGATTTTGAAAAACTGATATACAATTTTATAAGTACTGATATACAATCTGAATTCCAACTAAGTATTTTCTTTACAACTTAAGATACCAATTATAAAACGGCACTACTTTATAACACACTCTCTTTACAAATGGCTAAGATCACAAGCAGATTTTCTAGTAGAAAACAGTGAAGAAAACCCAATTGAAAGTCTTAAAAGAAAAATTGAAATTGCTTATACTGCTAATTAAGAATTTAGAAAAATGACATGAACTTCATATTAAGTTATAATTATTTCTCTAACACCAGTGTAAATTTTCTTTCCATTTCTGTGCTGTTACAATGTGGGAAAAACTGAACTTATGTTGTCGTTTATTTTAAGTAAAGAAACTAACTTCATACCTTAAAAGTAGTCATCATTTTTTCACAACCTCATCATTATCCTAAATAGTTGCAAGAATTATTATTTTTTTAAATTCTTTTGTCACAAAGACATTACTGGGTTTTTACTCTGTTGTACATATTGCTAAGTATTAACCTTTACATATTTTTTTCTTTTAAGAAACTTCTTGTGAACTGTTATCACCATTGCTGTCTCTCAATGATACCAAGGCCATTCTTACCAGTTACCAAATAATAATAATAATAATAATAATGTAAGTCTACATGTTTGCTTTAGTTCTTACTGAATTTCTCTGAAAAACCTGATCTCATTGCTTCTCATCTAATTTTTTGGACTACAGGTAACAAATGTTGGATGAGTTCAACATGGAGAGTGTTTCCCATATCTTAATATGTACAATTTTTTACTATATAAAATTCTATAAAAGTTATTTTTTCAAAGATTATAAACTATAATCATTGAAGCTTATCTCAAACATTCATTCTAAGCCTTCTTTATCCATGTACTTTGTCCTTAATTTCTAACTTAATAAGATAAATTACCTACATCTGGTTCCTTCAAATCTTACACATTTTTCAGAGTTCATAAAATGTTATATGTTTAAATCATTTGAAAGCACTCTGACCTATCTCTATTAAACACATTGCTTCTACAGCTAATAATTAACTATCAATCATTGACATAGTTGATCCTCCTTAGTTTCACCAAAGCCTCTCAAACCTTAAAATTAAAAAAAAAAAATACATATTATCAAATGGCTGGACTTTTACATCTATTCCCACTCATTCATTTTTTTTCCTGTTTTCTGGAATATATTTATTTTTAGCTTTCTTTAAAGAAAAGTCTTAGATATCTGTCAGCTGGTGAGTTAGGTAGATAGTACAGTTACCTCCTATGCTTCCCTTTCTATACAACTGATCACTTGTTCTTTTCTATTGTTATAATTTGTTACATTGTATATGACAAAAAGCAAGATACTTGCCTTATGTCATGCCTGCAATTTTTCCAATAATACCTGATAAATATTTTCCTCATCTAACACATTTCTGTAAACTCACAACTAAAAATTTAAGGTATTGGAGCACAGGCCAAAGTGGCAGTGGCAGCTGAGAGGCATTTTTGTATCCTGTCCGCCCTCTACAAGCAGAGCCAAATCTGGGTCATTATTTCAGCAGGGAGCTTTGAAACACCTTCCAACTTTGTACAGCAGGATGCTGAGTATCTTTTGACCTAGTTTTGCACACAGGAAATGCAAGACTGCCAGACCATGGAGCCTGGAAGTGTTAGGTTGTTAGATCTCTGTCTTTTAGTTGCTGGAAGGATTCCTAAAATGTTAGCTTCATGATTCTTCCCTTTCCAGGAAACAATAACGTAATTATCCTGGCTACCTCTTGGCTCAGAGGTAAATATTCCTCCATATGACTGTTTCAGGTTGTATGCAAATTGAAATTGACCAAGATGGTCTTAAAATTTGCCTCAGTTTCACTAAACTTTGGATAGAATTCTTCCTGACTCTATGCTCACCCCTCTTTTTTCAGACTACTCATTAAAAAAAAAAAACATGGAATTGTAATTTTTTCTCTAATCCTTTGAGATGTTAAGTCTTTTTAAAAACCTCTTGCTAGTTTGCTAGTTTTACAACCCGTAACTTTTTTTTTTCCCCCCAAAGGCCTGAACATTGTATCTTTGAAATGTAAACATCAAGGGAAATAGCTCCCCTATGCCCCAGTTTCTGGAGGAGAGTAGAAGACTAACTTGGGTGAACAAATTGCTTCAAGTTGTAAAACTATCCTCTCGCAAAGATGAGAAAGTTTACTTTTTCTTTAGTAAAACCAATTAACAAACACAGATTGGCCTGTGCTCTCCCTCTGACCTTGGCACTTAAAAATCCTCCCTTCCTTCGTTTCAGTAAACTTCAGACTGAGTTTGGGTCTCTCTCCTAATACAATATCCTTGAATAAAGTCTTCTTTACCTGTATAATTTTGTCTAGAACGATTTTCTCTTTATCAAAATATTACTTTAAAACTATTAAGACCAAAAAATGTCTAAGTATTTTCCTCACATTGCTGCTTTGAGATTAAGCAGTCAGAGCATGTGTACTTTTTTTTTTTTTTTTTTCAGGAAGCTTTTTTTACTGAGTGTTATCTTAGTGTTAGCAAATCCTTCTTCAATATAAGTGAAATCCTAAAAGAGGACAGAGTCCTCCTAGTTCCCAGGTGTTTGGACTCCAGTGGCTGATCTTCACAATGTCACCTCTTGTTTTTCTGTTAGCAGAAATGCTGTAAAAAATAAAACTCCTTAAACTACGTTCCTGCTGCTTTGATAACTAGGCCAGAACCTGCCTTTCTTCGTCTCACACCAGTATGAAGAATTTAGGTAAAATGAACCACATTCCATTTATAAGAAATAATACATAAAACAAACCATCAATATATACTGTCTGCCTTGGTTTCTTTCACAAGATTTTATGTCCTCCTCTTCTTGCTAAATGTAAATAGTTATTAAAAAGTGTAAACCCTGATAATGCTCTGTGTGTTGTATGCCTTCTAACTCTCTTAACATTTGGCATTATATCACATTTATGTCCTCATCTACATCTTCTGTTCATTTGGTCTGTGAGCTTCATGAGGGCAATACACAGATTTATTAGTTTATTCTCTACAAATACAATTAATACTACAATTAATACTTGTATATTGAGTAACATTCAACAAATGTTTGCTATAATGGCAAAATTATTTGAATGCACTAATAACACGATACAAAGATTAATAGAAAATGTCAACATAGTAGATCAGAAAAAAAAACTTGAAAAATGTCATTTGCACAACTCTAAGTACCTTTATTGTCCATTTCAAATGATTTGTCAAGTCCACATTAACTATTCCGTGAAAATTTTTACGTTAAAGTAACACATTCCAGGGAAAAAGTTATTTGAACCCATCATTTCCAAAAGAAAAGACAATTAGAATCTCTTTTCTTTCCTAAGCAAACATGGACATAAACAAATTATTATTCAATAATTTGTATCCACCCTGTTTCTCTCCCAGGTTCTACTATTTACATATTTATTTAAGCCAGTTTAAATCATTTGTGGAAGAACGAAATGTATATGTATACATATATACATTTGTAATTTCAGTGACAACAAAAAGTCTGATTTTTGATCTACTAGTTTTCAACTGAAAAGATACAGAATACAGAATTTTTTTTAAAAAAGCGTTAAATCCTGTACTTAAAGGAAATGAGCTAAAATTTATAAGACATCAGAATGATGTTATAATTATTTTGCCATACCTGTATATGCAAATTGGACAAGGTCCCAGAGAGCATTGGGGTCTATGCCTTCCATTTTGATCTCCTCTTGCTTGGCTTCACAAACATCACTTGTAAACATGGCCGCAAAATAGTCGGAGACTGAACTCAGAACAAGCCTGAAAGAGTCACAGGTTCTAATTTAGGTCGTGAATGTAAGGCAGAAAATCACTGTGTCAACCAGAATGCAACACAGAGCACAAAATCAATCTATTGATCAATCAATTAATGCATTTTATTTATTGCCTCATGAGTTGTACTTTACAAAACTGATTCAAAAACTCTTCCCCTAACTTTTCGTAATAGAGCATTCTCATACATTTTCTTCTATCACTTGAACGATATTTTGTCTTTCACATTTAGGGCTTCAGGCCTCTTAAATAATATATTATAGTTTTCTTTATGTAATGACCCACCTTTCACCATGCTAACTTTCCCCCCTAAACTATCGTGAATTTGAACGCATAACATATATTGATCTGTTGGTGAGATTTCTATTATGTTTTATTTGCCTGTTCTTGTGCCAATAAAATAGTATTTTTAAATTAGAAATATGTCTTTATAACCAATAAGGCAAATCCCTTTCTTTAATATTTTAAATTTAACTATTAGTAACATATTATTCTTTCATAAGTAGAGTTTTAGGCTTTCAAGTCTTAAGTAACTTTTTAAGTTTTAAAAATAATTCCTAAAGCATTTTGATTTAAAAATGCATTAATTTTTTATTTTATTTGGGGAGACTTGACATAATTTTCATATAAATTCATTCCATCTAAAAGTATAAAATATCTATCCCTATATTCAGGATACTTTGTTTCCTTTTCAATTTTAAAGTTTTCCTGAAAATTGCTATATAGATTCTTGGTTGATTCTTATATTGTTACAATTTTGTTGGCTTTGTGTATACTATCTACTTTTTATTCTATTTTTGTTGGTTTGTTTTTCTGTTAGAATTTATTAATTGAGAAATTCATAGATTCATCCTTTATCTGGTACATCTGGTGAATTATGTTTGCTAGTTCTTTTGATTCTGCTATTTCTTTTTACATTTAGGTAGATGACTACATCATCTGCAAGTTATATTCTTTTGACTTATTCCTGTTCATTCTGTATAACTCCTCTTCTTTCTCTTTCCTTACAGCTGTGTTAAACAGTTCCTCTGTCACAGAGGCATTTTGTGTTTTTTTCTATATTAAGAGGAATGCATCTAAAGTTTCTCCCTTCAGTATGATGCCTGCTGAATATACTTGGAATATAAGCTTTACTAAGTCAGATAAACCTCTTTAATTTCTAATTTTGCAAACAATTTTTATATTTGTGTATTAAAATTTATAATGTTGTTAATGATATTTTAGAATGAAAAAAATTATGATATTTTCAAGTATAATTATGAGATGAATAAATCTCTAATTTTATTTTCTTGTATTTTCCTGATCTGATTTTTAATCAAGGCTATAGTAGCCTCATAATATGAGCTGGGAGCTACAACTCTTTAATTTTGTGTAACAACTTTTAGAATAAAGCAATTACTTTTTTCTTTAAGATCTTTCAGAAATTATGTGTAAAACCATTTACATTCGGCTATTTTGAAGAAGACTTTCCTAATATCATTTCCATTATTTACTAAGTCACAAGGCTTATTCAAGTTATTTCTTCATATATTCACTTTTGCATCTTAAATTTTCCAAAGTTTTTTTCACTTTACTTAGAGCCTAACATTTATTTGTTTGTTTATAATTTCAGCATTTTTTTTAGAGACAGTATCTCTTTCTGTTGTCTAGGATGTTGTGCAGTGGCATGATCATAGCTCATTGCAGCCTTGAACCCCAGGGCTCAAAGTGATCTGCCTTCCTCAGCCTCCTGTGTAGCTGGGACAGCATGCACAACCACCTCACCTAGCATGGGTTCTAAAATGTCTAATTTATGTTTTTCACAAAATTACATTTGGGTTTAATTGTACCAATTTATATTTGTTTTTAATTTACTCTATTTGTTCTTCGGATTAATCTTTGTACAGTAATTATTTCATATCATTCATTATATTGACTACATGTTTTTCACATGTGTGTATGCACACATATGTGTGTTTAAAGTGGTTACTCTACGGCAGCAACCAGAATTTTGTTTTCCATAAACAGCCAAATAGTAAATATTTTACATGTTGAAAATTCTACAGTCTTTGTTGCATATTCTCCTTAAAAACAAACTCAATCAATTGAAAATTCTAAAATTAATTTTAGCTTATGGTCTACACAAAAACAAGCTGCACAGCAGATGTGGCCCCTGCACAGATATTTGCTAAATTTGTCTAGAGATCACATTAACCAATAACACTCTACCTTCATGGATATTGTAAGAAATTTGCAACATAAAACACCCCTTCTGCTCAGTCAAAAATCTAAAAGAAGAACATAAAATATATTTAAATTTACTGCCTTTTTCACAATTTTTGATGCTCTCCATTCATTTTTGAAGTCGGCTTTAAGCTGGTATCAATATTGGAAGAAATATCTTTAGTTATTTCTTGTACTGTAAGTCTGATGGCAAAAAATAAAAAAACATACACAGCTTTCATTTATCTGAAGACTTATTTAGTTGCATGTCTAGTATCTTTTAAAAGTTATTTACACATGACATAGAATTCTAGGGTGATTTTTTTTGAACTTGAAATATACAATTTCATTATCAATTAGGCACCACTGTTGGAATTTTTTTGTCAGTTTGTTTGTTTTTTTAAAAATAGGCTCTTGCTTTGTCACCCAGGCTGGAGTCCAGTGGCACAATCATAGCTCACTGGCACCTCAAACTCCTGGGCCCAAGCAATTCTTCTGCCTCTACCTCTCAAACAGCTAGGATCACAAGTATATGCTACCATGCCTAGCTAGTTTTTGAATTTTTTGTAGACAGCATCTTGCTATATTGACCAGGCTGGTCTGGAGCTACTGGCCTTGAGTAATCCTCCTGCCTTAGCCTACAAAAGTATTGGGGTTATGGGCATGAGACACTGCACCCAGACCATCTTGTTTGTTATAGAAAGCTAGCTTTCATTCTTACAATTGTTTTTCTGATGTAATATGTCCTTTATTTTTGTTTTTAACTTTTTTCTCTTGATCTTAGGGTTTTAGTTATTTAGCTGTAAGTGGGACTTAATATTTACTCAGCATATGTTTTTCTGAGCTTCCTGGAGCAGTGCATGGATCCTTTTAAATCAAATTTTGAAAATTATCTGCAAATAATTACTCATATTTTCACCAAATTAACTCTCTGATACATTCTAGGACTCAGATTGCATATATGGTTCAACAACTGAGAATGCTACATAGACTGTTCAATCTTAATTCATTTTACACTCAATTTTTGTTTTCCTCTCTGCTTTACTTTAATTTCTAATCACTTGAATTTTCTCAAATGTCTTTATATTCCTGATTGCTTTATTCATTGTTATCTATCTTCTCCTATAAATATTTTGAATTATTTATGATAGTTACTTTTCTCCCTTTTCTAATACTTTAAACAACTGGGTCATCTCTTGGTCAATTTCCATTGACTGATTTTTGTTTGAACCATCAATAACATTCTCCTGCATTTTCTGTCTACAGTAAAATTTGATTACATAACAGATACTATACTACCCCCACAAAAAAAAATACAGGCTAAGAAGGGAGCTGGCCTTTAGTTCTTAGGCATTGTTATTTGTTCTCTGTTTTGGTTTGGTTTGGTTGTTATTGGTATATTCACAGCTTTTTGATGGCTTTAAAAATAAAATACAATTATTTGGTTTATCTGATGGAAAATGGAATTACAAATACAAGCATGCCTTATTTTATTGCATTTCACTTTACTGTGCTTTGCAGATACTGCAGTTTTTTAAAAATAATTGAAGGCTTATAGCAACTCATTATCTAGCAATTCCATCAAAACCAGTTTTCCAACAGCATGGGCTCACTTCATGTATCTTGGTCACATTTTGGTAATTCTGGCAATATTTCAAATATTTTATTGTTATGTCTGTTACAGTAATTTGTGAGCAGTGATCTTTGATGTTACAATTGTTCTTGTTTGGCGGTGTCATAAACTATACCTATATCAGACAATAAACTCAGTAAGTATAGTTCTGACTGCTTCACTAACTGGCCACCCCCTCATTTCTCCCCTTCTCCATGGGTCTCCCTGTTCCCTGAGACACAATATTAAAACTAGGCCTACTAATAACCCTGCAATGCCCTCTAAGTGTCCAAATGAATGGAAGTGTTGCATGTCTCTCACTTTAAATCAAAAGCTAGAAATGATTAAGTTTAGCGAGGGAGACATGTAGAAAGTGGAATGAGAACAAAAGCTAGGCCTTTTTTGCCAAACACTTAGGCAAGTTGTGAATGCAAAGGAAAAAGTCTTGAAGTAAATTAAAAGTGCTACTCTAGTGAACACTCAAATAATAAGAAAGCACAACAGACTTATTTCTGAAATGGAGAAAGTGAGTGGTCTGGGCAGAAGATGAAACCTGCCACAACACTTCCTTGAGCCAAAGCCTAATCCAGAGTAAGGCCCTAACTCTCTTCAATTTCATGAAGGCTGAGAGAGGTGACGAAACTGCAGAAGAAAAGTACAAAGTTGGCAGAAGTTAGTTTATGAAGTTTAGGGAAAGAAGTCTTCTCCATAACATAAAAGTGCAAAGTGAAGCAGCAAGTGGGTTGGTGCAAAAGTTATTATGGTTTTTGCCATTACTTTTAATGTCAAAAACATCAATTAATTTTGTTCCAACCTAACAGAAGCTGCAGCTTCTGTGATCATTGATGAAAGTGGCTACACTAAACAATAAATTTTCAGTGTTGACCATATATATAAAGAAGATGTCATCTAGGATTTTCATAGTTAGAGAGAAGTCAATGACTGGCTTCTAAGCTTCAAAGGACAGGCTAACTCTCTTTTTAGGGACTAATGCACCAGTGAGTTTAAATAGAAGCCAATTCTCATTACCATTCTGAAAATCCTAGGGCTCTTAAGAATTACGCTAATTCTACTCAGCCAGTGCTTTAGGAATGGAACTATAAAGCCTGGACGACAGCACATCGTTTGCAGAATGGCTTACTGAGTATTTTATATCCACAGTTGAGACTTACTACTCATTGACAATGTTCCTGGTTGCTCAAGAGCTCTGACAGAGATGTACAAGGAGATTAATGTTGTCTTTAGGCCTGCTAACACATCCATTGTACAGCTCATTAAGAAATAATTTTGACTTTCAAGTCATATTATTTTTAAAAAGTATATTTCATTTCTTTTCTTTTTTCCTTTTTATTTGTACAGATTTTTGCATACACGTGCAATTTTGTTACATGTATAGATTGTGTAATGGTCAATACAGGGTTTTTAGGGTATCCATCATCTAAATAATGTACATTGTACCCATTAATCATTTTTTCACCTTCCTTCTCCTTCCCACCTCCTCACTCTTCTGGATCTCCATTATCTATTATTCAACTCTCTATGTCCATATAATCACAGCTTTTAGCAACTACTTATGAGTGAAGACATATGACATTTGTCTTTCTGTGCCTGGCTTGTTTCACTTAAGAAAATGACCTCTAAGTCCATCCATGTGACCATGAATGACATGATTTCATTTTTTTAATGGCTGAATAGTATTCCATGTGTATCTATATCATATTTTATTTATCCACTCATCAATTGATGAACAATTAGGTTGATTCCATATATCTGATATTGTGAATAGTGGTGCAATAAATATACAAGCACAGGTTTTTTGATATATTGATTTTGTTTCCTTTGGACAGACACTCAGTAGCTGGATTGCTGGACTGAATGGTAGTTTTATTTTTAGTTCTTTGAAAAATAAGTCTCCAGATGCTGTAAATAGTGATTCCTTTGAGGCATCTGGCAAAGTAAATTTAAAACTTTCTGGAAAATTTCACTCTCCTACATACCATTAAGTACATTCATAAGTCATGGGAGGAAGTAAAAATAACAACTAGTTTGGAAAAAGAGAAGATTCCAACCCTCATATATGACTTTGAAGGGTTTAAGACATCAGTGGAGGAAGTAACCTTACTAGAAGTAACCTCTAACCAAAGAATTAGAATTAGAAGTGGAATCTGAAGATGTAACTGAATTGCCGCAATGTCATGATCAAATTTGAATGGATGAAGAGTTGCTTCTAATAGATGAGCAAAGAAAATGATTCTTGAGATGGTGTCTACTCCTGGTGAAAATTCTGTGAAGATCATTGAAATGACAAGAAAGGATTTAGAATATTACACAACCTGGTGGGGCGTTGTGGCTCACGCCTGAAATCTAAACTTTTTGGGAGGTGGCTGGTGGATCACTTGAGGCCAGGAGTTCAAGATCAGCCTGGCCAAGATGGCAAAACCCCGTCTCTACTAAAAATACAAAAATTAGATGGGCGTGGTGGCGCGTGCCTGTAATCCCAGCTACTCAGGTGGCTGAGGCAGGAGAATTGCTTGAACCTGGGAAGCGGAGATTGCAATGAGCCAAGATCGCACCACTGTGCCCCAGCCTGTGGCCACAAAGCAAGATGCTGAATCAAAAAAAAAAAAAAAGAAATAAAAAAGAATATTACACAAACTTAATTGACAGAGCAGCAGTAGGGTTGAAGAGAAAATTGATTCCAATTTTGAAAGAAGTTATACCGTGGGTAGAATGCTATCAAACAGCATCCCATGCTATATGTATATAAAAAAATTGTGAAAGGAGAATCAATTGTTGCAATGTATTTCACTATCATCCTATTTTAAGAATGGCCACAGATACTCCAGCCTTCTGCAACCACCACCCTGATCAATCAGAAGCCATCAACAGCGAGTTAAGACCCATCACTAGCAAAAAGATTAACACTCCCAGAAGGCTCAGATGATTGTTAGCATTTTTTAGCAATAAAGCATTTTTTAAATAACTATGTACACATACATACATGATGAAGTAGTGCTACTGCACACTTATTAGACCTATGGTATCATGTAAATAGAACTGATATATTTGCTAAGAAACAAATATAAACAAATATATATATAAATATACATATATAATATATATTTTGGTGACTTGCTTAATTGCGATAGTCACTTCATTATGGTAGTCTAGAATCCAACCTGCAATATCTTCAGGGTGTGCCTGTACAGAAAGGGAGAAGACTTAAAAAAAAATCAAACCTATGAAATTGAAGGTATTATGGGTTGAAATTTAAAAAAAAAAAAGAAATTGAAGGTATTAATATAAATTATTTGTTTTAAACATAAAATATATGAATTCTTATTTGTGTTTGTGCATATGTATGTATGTGTGCATGTCTGTCAAAGACTCCTTAGAAAAAGGACAGACTGCAGAATGGAGCAGGGTAAGCATAAAATCAGCCTGGAATACCTTTTGTTGCAGAGAGTAAAGAAATGCTCATCATTTTTTATGGCTGCATAGTATTCCATGGTGTATATGCGCCACATTTTCTTAATCGAGCCTATCATTGTTGGACATTTGAAACCTGCACGTTTTGCACATGTACCCTAAAACTTAAAGTATAATAATAAAAAAAAGAAGTGCTCAAAACAATTGAGGATATGTCAAAAGAATTATAGTGATGCTTACATCTATAAGCAAAACAACAGTAAAATTTGAATGCACGTTTTTCCTAAGAATACTATAAGAGAAAAGAAAGGAAGTTAGATCAATACAGGAAATTATTATCTAAAACTTTTTAGGAGATTTTTTTTCATTTATTTATTTTGAAGTTTTATCTGCTATGTATTTTATCTTACATATAAGGTAAGTGGAAGGACATGGTATAATTTAACTTAAACACAAAATACATTCTTTTAACTGGAAAACATGACTTAACCATGTAATTCATGCATTTAAGAAATGCCTTATAAGATTCATGGCTTTAAATATTTTATTAATATTAATGCTGAGGATGGTAACATGTTAGACATATTTAAAGTTCTCACTTTCCTATGCATTTATTCTGGGCAGTTAGTAACTAAAATGTCAACTTTTTATAATCTCAGAATTTGACAAAATGATTAAGACACAGTTATCCTCAAATATTTATTACATACCAATTAGATAAATTAGTGTCAGATGGTGAGTTTTATCAAAAGCATTAATTAAATCATTGTATGATACAAACAAACTATAATAAACTAGAGGATAAATATATTTCCTATGCATAAAAAATATATCAACATAAAGTTAACCAGCTTAATCTTATGCATAAAACGTATATAGTTGCAGCAAGGCCACATCTCCATAGAGCAAAATATCGTGTAACCTATATTATTCAATTTTAAATAATTACATAATATCTTCTTTGTCAACTATAACATACTAAATACTGCTAACTCATTAAAAAAAACTGCAGAAAAGTTTATACTGCATTTAGATTTGGTGACATAAGATATGGATTAAATTTTAGAAGAGGGATTTAATGCATAACAGACATTAATATTTTTATATGCACATATTTAGTTCTATTAATGCTAGAGAACCTGGAGTAAAACATGCATAAAGAAGTATATGCATGCAACCACACTAGAAAATCTCTTATTGAGGTCACTACAAATTTATTTCCTTCAAATCGATTAAACTTTTTAAGTTCCACTTCAATTTATTATGGTGTTTGATATTGTTAACCTCCCATTCCTTTTTTAAATCTATTTTTTAGCGAAAGCTGTGCAGACTTCTTATCCCAGCTTACCTCTGATTCATTGACTTTTCTTCCTGGGTCTAGTCTTTAACCCTCTCACTGCCATAGGT
Source organism: Homo sapiens (assembly GCF_000001405.40). Classification (NCBI taxonomy): domain Eukaryota; kingdom Metazoa; phylum Chordata; class Mammalia; order Primates; family Hominidae; genus Homo; species Homo sapiens. The sequence goes on from NC_000013.11 coordinate 69,970,107, forward strand.
TTTGTTCAGGCCTCTACATTTTGCCTTGATGCTCACTGTTTCAGAATCATTCTTGAGCATTGCCTTAATTACTATTTTTACGGTGGTTGTAAACATAACCCTGTATCTCAAATGCCTGTAGAACTGCTCATCACATATCCCAGGACATTTCATTATAACTAAATTAAACTCAAAGCTTTCCCACTGATATTTTCTTTCATTTATACTTCTTTGTTTCTAATTGGTGCACTTCCAGAGTCGAATTTATGAACTTCCAGAGTCAAAATTATGAAAGTATCATTGTGTTTCTTTCTACTTTGTTTCCTATATCAAATATGATGTAAAATCCATCTTTCTCTTTGAATGTGTTCTTGCCTTCTTTATGAGGCCTGCCGATGTCCCAGGGGCAGTGATGTTAGTACCTAAAGCACCCAGATGCTCCTTTTTTCAGGAACTGGACTTGGCCTAACAGGAGCTCCTTATTCTGTGGAAGTCTATGTGTTCCTGCTTCTCACACTTTATCCTTCAACTGCCACCACCTCTCCTGACTCTCAACCTGTGGGTGGATCTTAAAGCACTGACTAAGAATCAGGATAAATCCTTGCTTCGGGGTGTGACTCATTCTGCAGGAAGTCATATGCAGAGCTTCCGGAGAGATAAAGAGGAAGCAAGTCTTCATTCTTGATTTGTTCCTTCCTCTGCCTGCTTCTGTTTCTTCTGAGGTCAGCCTTTAAATCCATCATGAAAACCTGAATTCCAGGCTCAGGCTCTCACATGAGGGAATCTGGCTTATGACATCATCCTTCAAAATACTGCTCAGTTCATCCTTTATGTTCATATAGTCTTCATTTCATGCCTGGATTAACCAAAACAGCTTCTCAGATCATTAGTTTCTGCTGTGCCTGTCCTTTATACATTTTCTAAAACCATACCATATTTCAAAACTACCTTTCTAAATTATGATAGTCAGTCTATTGTGGTTGTTAAAGTCATTATTTCAGTACCCAGATTGCCTGGGTTTGAGTTCTAATGTCACCAATTATTGAGTGAATAACTTGGGTACATTTTAAATTTTTTCCATGCCTCCGTTTTCTATATTATAGAGAAAAGTGAGAAATTAAGAATTTTCTGTTTCTTAAAGACAAAATGATTTGTAAATGCAAACTACTTTAAACAAGGCCTGGAACATAATCAATGCAGTGAGTGTTAACTATCATCATCATCATCATCATCATTATCATTGACTCAGTTGTTATTCCTCTCCTCAAGAACCTACATTAGCTTCTAATTAAACATACTGTTTCAAGTAAAAAACTTATCTACTGGCTCCTGAGGTCTATCATAATCATCTTTGTCCTATTTTTATGGTTTAATTTCCCAGTTATTTCCAATATAAACTCTATTTTCACCAACTCATTATCCTTGTAATTTTTGCAAACAGAAATTCTTTAGTTCTCTATTTTTTCCATAGTAGTATCTCTACTTAAAATAGTATGCCATGTCTTTTCCACTAGGCTTACCTCACACTCAATTTCTCTGAAAAACTTTCATAATACTCTATCATATACTACTCATTTCCTTATTTGACTATGTCTTGACTTGGAATTAGAACCATATATTCTACCTTGCAGTTATTTGCAACTATAATAATTTCCTTAATTATCTTATGGTTTATCTTTAATTCCTCAAGTATATTGAAAACTCTACAAGGAAAAACATTATGTTTTATAATCATTATGCATCATCAACAGGGCATAGGCCAATGCTAGAGTATGTTTGATAATTGTTTGTTTTAATTAGTGCAAAGAAAGATGCTTCATGGACTGCTGACAATCTACTATAGACATAAGCAAAACATTAAAATGATATCCAAGTGATCAAGAAAACAAAAGTTTTTCAGTTTTACTAATTATTTTTTTCTGAAGTTGCTACAGAGATATTTTAAACTATCAAACTGAGTGAGAGATTTAGGTGGATGGATGATTTAGTAAAATGAAAGAAATGTTATTCCTCTACTATTAAAGATAATCTATGTAAATAAATTTTCCATCAACATAGAGAAGCAGTACTATCTGCCTACTCTTGGGTATTTATATATGTTGTTTAGGTAAGTAATTTCTTTTTAATGTATTTAATGTGGTTTAAGTGCTACTAAATGCATCATTTCAATTGTCACTTTAGCCTCAACTGTCTACATACTAGTGCACTATAAAGAACATTAAAATAATAAATACTTTCTTGAAATAACTAAACTTATTGTCAAATATGTACAAACAGTGAAAACAGAATATAACACATTTTTAAATGCCAAGTGTTTTAGTCTGTAGAATAGGATACTTTTCTATCTATCAAATATCATCATTTTATTCTTCATTTAAGTTTTCATTTGATCATGAACATATTGCATGCTTGCTGTAAAAATTTAAATAATACATCTGTTGATACATTTCAGAAAAAAGCCACCCCTTCTTTCCTCATTATGAGCCCTATCTCACAGGAATAAGATTTGTTAAGTTTTTGGCGTATATCCTTCAACACTGTTTCGATGAACATAAAATGATAAATAACATTATTTCCAACTCAAGACTAAGTATATTAGTTACATAAGATTTCCCCATGTATGTCTGCAAAATGCTCTTACTCTTAATAATGGCTAAGGGGGAAGAAAACTTTCACAAGCTCAATCATATTTCATTTCATATCTGTACATTATATCAGACAAGGCCATGAACACCTCCTAATTTTCTTACAATTGAAAATTCAAATATCCAATTTTAATATTGATCTGTCAACCTAATTTTCCTCATCTGAATCTCAGATTAAAGGTAGCCTACCTATAAAAAATTTTTGATGTTTGAAATTCAAGGATTTACATTCAAATATTTTGGTTTACTTGTTGCTGATCAATTATCTTGGGCTATTTGTGAGAAAGTGATATTCCTCTTAGGATTTCCTTCAAGGCCTAAAGCACAAATGAGTTCAGAATTTTGATTATTTTTCATGCAGAAATATATTAATGGGTTATCTGAAATATTATTAGCCTTTCAGACCTTATCTACTTAAAAATATGCCTAACAGTAAACAGAACTATCTACATAAACATGGCCTTTCATAAAACAATTGATAATTGTGACCAATATCAAGTTAAAAACATACACCATATAACCAGCACATAAATACATGATATTATGTAGAGTCCTTCAATGAGGGCAATATGTTAACTAAAAATAAAATTTATTTGACAGTTTGGAATGATGATATAATTAATATAAATTAAACATATATAATTATGAATGAATACTGAGCAAGTGCTAATAATGTTAGCTAGCAATGCTTTTACTGAAAGAGCTATAAATCTTCATAAAAATTATTTATTTTTATATTATTTGATATTATTATAATAGCTCCACAATTTTTAGTGGTAATGATTCCAACACCACATACATTTTGCTTAAAGACAATATTTAGTTGTACTAACCAAAATATACTAAAAGTATTAAAATGTATTAGTTTATTACTAATGATTATTCATTTTAAGTCAAGAGCTAGTTTTGCGTTAATTACAACTGTTTCATCTTGCAAAAGTATCAGTAAAGTAGTATCAAATACCTGCAATGATTCACAACAATGCTTGTTCAAGCGTCACACAATATTTATTTGTATTTATTAATATTTGTTTAACTTAAAGTCCTAAGATGTACATTACTTGTAAAATAATTAGTACTAAAGTTTTAAACTATAGTGTTAAAAATTTAATTGGGAGGTCATTAGGCTGAGACATCTCCAGGTTTTTGCCAAGCAAAAACCAACTCAGAGTAATTTAACCAATCAGAAACCACCAACCAACCTCTAACTAGGCTCTTGCCCCGCTTTAACCAATCAAATATTTTCTTTGTCTTGTTTCCACAAGCGTCTTATGAAAACTTTCCCCTGGTCTTCTTTAGGTGGGTCTCTGAACAGCTTGTGGTCTCGTGCTACCCGATCATGAGTTGCTGTTTGCTCAAATAAACTCTTTAAAATAGTAATGTACTTAAGTTTATCACTTAACAGTGTAAAGAAAATATAAAATTTTATTTGAATTGAGTTAGCCGTAATGATTTTTAAAAACTAATTTTTCGTATCCTACTTAAGAAACACATCAATGATTGATAATAATGTATTTAGTTTAATATATTCTAAATATATTAAATATTTATATGTTCAGAATAATACATATAAAGGTAATACATTGCTCAGATGTTTTAGAACAATATAAACCAAGAAGAATTTTGATTTCTCATCCAATAGGAATATTGTAAACAATTTGCATAACTAAATAATTTAGAAAATAACTAATGTATATAAACAGTAATAAAGAAAACAATGTAGAATATTATGAATATAGAATAATTGCTCAACAGATTGGTTAAAAATGTTTCAAATGAAAAAGAAAATGTTGAATTAAGATGAATAAAAGACTACAAGATTGAAGAAATTATAGGAAACACCCATCTTTTTAAAAAATTAATGAGCATTTGATGTGTTAATATATTTTTGAGTTGGTTGACACCTCCTGTCTTCTTAAAAATACATACAATATTATTTAATTTATAAGTTAAATGAAGTCAATTTAATTACACTCTCAAGAATAGCTCTTACGCTGAAGAATATAATTGAATTATTAACTAGATGCTATTTAGATGCTAGCTCAGGATAATTTGTGGTTTTGCCACACATATTATGACATTGAATAATTCTCTCAATAATAATGACTGTGAATTCTCTTGCAAATGGTAACTCAATTTTGTAGTTATATTTGAAAAATAAAATCAATAATATAAAAATGCTTTCAATAGTTAGCTGACAGATTGAACTCTAAATCACCTGCAGTAGTTATGCAATGTCAAATGTCCTTCCCCATGTATTCCAAGACACTGACTTAAATTCAACGTCCATATTGTAATATTTCTATCATGGTAGAAATACAGCCATGTTTTTCTGGAATCATTTTAATGAATAAAACTATTAGCTTTCAAATGAATTATGGCTTTAAAAATAATATCAGTATGACACAATTTTAAATAAATATAAAAATGTCAATATGAAATACCTTAATTTATTAGTTGATATAAATATATAGCCAAGATTACCTTTCTTTAGTTTCTGATGGAATAGCATATTTCATTTCAGATTTTAGGCACAATTCCTGAATTAGCGTGCCTAAAATTAGTATGACTGTGAATCCCACAGTCCCAGATAATGGAATTTTTCCTCCATAGTTATCAACCCTAGTTACAAGTAGTTTTATTTTTGAACACTTTATAATTGTTTTGTTTTTCAAAAAATTATTACCTAAAGTAGCATTTCAACTTTTCCACAAAAGAAAAATAAGAAATAAAAACAAGTATAAACAAAACAAACAACAACAACAACAAAAAACTTAAAAAAATGTGAATCCTTATTTCTGTAGTCATATAATATTCTGCAATCTGCATGCCAGTCTGGCACTTTTAAACATGTGAATGCATGTTTCCAGTAGAGGCAGACTACTGTACCTATGTGCAGGTATCTTTCGGTTCCCAACAATCAGGATAACATCACAAAGTTGCTGCTGCTTCAAATAACTTTCCATCTTTCTGAAGGTTTGCTCAGCATGATGAACAGCTTGATAGAATTCTTCAGAGCTACTGGAGTCCAAATCACTTTGAGGTGTCATTGAATGGCCGGTTGATGACAGCCTATAAACCACACACACACACACACACACACAAAATAATAAAGGGATTTATAAAGAGCCAATTATCTAGAATAACATACAGGTTTTTATCATTTTCTTAAGAAAACTAATATATCTGTGTTTATTTTTATATTTTAATACAACTTCAATAAATAAAAGTCGAATAATCTATTGTGGGATAAGTGATTTGCTCTAGGGAATAATAAATAAATGGAAAAGTTCTTTAAAAGAGGTTTAAAAATATGTTGTCTGTATTGATTAGGACCTTAAGTTAGTAAACCTGAAATCTCACAGAAATAGTAAATTATTTACATGCCTATTCTAAAATTAATTAGCAATGAAATGTTAATTTCGTTCATTTGATATTGAGGAAGATAGCTTAATTATACTATTCTAAATAGAATTCTTGAGATGTCATAGTAAATGTTGCCTTGCAGAAATAGGTGATTTTTATTATGAAAAAAATATAAAACCTGGTTTTCAAGTAATACTGACAATTAAATTTGTAAGTAAATTATTGACTTTCATGTTCTGCACCCCACTATTAAACAAAAAAGTAGAATGTATTAACTCAGTACTTATAATAACTTTAATCATTAATAGATATTTTAATAAACTTTATGATTTTGGAAAGTCCATGATACTTAAGTTTTGTTACTTCATGTATTAATAATATAGACTGTTTCAAAAAAAATAACTTTAATAAGTGCTATACTCCATCATAGGGAAGACTGTTAATATTCAAGTTTCATGATAGACACATGATAAAGCCCAGCAGACCCAATCAAGTGTTCTGATGACAATTGCTTAAATAACCTAAAATTAAATATTAATTAGATTCATAAAGTTAAGACTAAAATTGCTTACTTCATGATAAATATCTTAGAAAGTAACATGGAGAATTCTGGTTCCAATTGCAAAGTAGTAATTTGCAGCTGACTAAATCCCTCTCCACGAAAACCACAAAAAAGTTACATACAATATCAAAATAATTATTTGCATTCAATAGGCTCTACTGAGGCAATCAGGACTTAGAAAGCTAAGATCCTGAAATACAGATAAATTAATTAGAGTCATCTCAAAATTATTCACTGCGTATTCTTTCCCTCTCAAGGTATTTACTAGTTATTAACAACATAGAGTGAGAGTCCAAGGAGCTCAACATAATATGGCAGCTAAGCAGATCTTCTGAGGATAATACGAAGACTGAAACCTAGAGTTGTATCAGTGAAAATCTCTGATTTCATTAAGCTGAACTTTTAATTGAAGTACCAGCAAACAATATAGTTTATATTTAGGAAAAGACATTCTTATATGGACTCTGTGATTTCTTATACACAATGCCTGGCATTAAAGGAAAAAAATAGTAGGTTTGTAAAGAAACTGGACACAATGAGAAAAACAGACAACAGAAACAGTCTCCCAGTTGCTACAGATATGTTCGAATATATGGATCACAATTATTACTTAATAGATATAAAAATAACTTTCATTGGTCTTTTAATATAGATAATAAGCTGGATAATTTCAAGTCATATGAAAAAAATCAAATGGAAACAAATAAGGCAATACAATAATTTAAGATTTTGATGTGCAAAATTAGTCGATAAAAGGCAAACAAATGACGGTATGAAAAATAAATTAATAGAAAATACTCAAACTAAGTTACTGAGATAAAAATATAGAAAACAAAAAACGGTAAAATTATAATATTCATGTAATTACTATATTCTGTAATCTTAAAAGTAGAGGGGAGAAATGATGGGACAAAAGCCATGTGAGGAAATAATGGCCAAGAATTTTCAAAAATTTGTTAGATACTTCAGGAAAGAGATTCCAGTGAAATTGGACTTAAACACGTTTTAATCGTATAGAAACACCTAATACACTGATTTGGAAAACATTATATTTTATTGAACCTCTTCCTCTTGAGATGCAGAACCACAGTTATGCAAAATAAAAAATTCGGAGAGCCTTACCAGTAAAGTGTAAACAACAACAAAAAACATTATTTTTGAATAAGAAAATACGTAATTGATATTATTTCCAGAAGATGTGTTTGTGCACATAGAAAATCCGAAAAAATTGACAGAGAAGCTTACCAAATTCTATATCCACTGATATTACCTGTGTTCTCTGTTATCTGCAATATATATATTTATCTACACAATATGTTATCTTCATCAGACTTTTCAAGTTCTCCTTTAAATATTTGAAATTAATACAAATTTTGCTGTACCATATGTTTGCCTTTCACAAGTTCGCAAATTACAACCCCAGAATATGGCCACTTCTCAGCATGTATTTTAAGAATTCGGGCTCAAGCACATATAGCAAGAACAGCAGAATTCTTCCACCTGTTAACGCATTGAATAGAAAAGTCACAATATGCATTGCAGGGTGCATTTTAAGATTTAGAATGAACATACTATTGACTCTCAGGTAGAAAGGATAATTAAGTCAGGATTTGTAGGCTGCCAAATGGACCAAAACTGCTCCAAAAGGAAACCCTGATGCTTCTTCTGCTTGGGTACGCAGACTGCATGATTAGGTTTTAAAATTCAAGATATGAGAAACACCTCTAAAGAATGGCTACAGATTAATTTAAATAGGGTTTGGGATAAAAGCTCTACATACGTCCTTATATTAATTAACCACAGGTTAAAGGAAATATTCTGGTCAGAATATTTTTTTTTTTTTTTTGAGACAAAGTCTCACTCTGTCGCCCAGGTTGGGGTGCAGTTGCACGATCTTGGCTCACTGCAACCTCTGCCCCCCGGGTTCAAGTGATTCTCCTGCCTCAGCCTCCTGAGTAGCTGGGATTACAGGCATGCACCACCATGCCCGGCTCATTTTTGTATTTTTAGTGGAGACGGGGTTTCACCATGTTTGTCAGGCTGGTCTTGAACTCCCGAACTCAGGTGATCTGCCCGCCTTGGCCCCCCAAAGTGCTGGGATTACAGGCGTGAGCCACTGTGCCTGGCCTGGGCAGAAATTTTTAATACCTGATAAAGATTTCATAATCTAGGAAAAGTTAAGATAATTATTTAATTTACTTTGTCTTTAGTTGTTGTCCAAGTTGTGGTGGGTGTACTATTAAAGAAAAGAGTGAGATAAGTAGAATAGAAAGAAATAGAAAAGAAAGAAATAGAGCTTGGTGAGACCCTGGTTTGGGGGGCTGGGGGTCATAGTATTTGAAAAGAGTTATTCAAAGTCAAAAAGTTAACTACTGTCAAGATAGTACCTTCTTTTATCTAATCTAGTTAAAATAATCTCAAATATAATACAGACTTGGACTTTTTCTGACAAATTTGAAAACAATTTGAAAGAATGGGATTAAAAAAACAGAAAATTAGATAAGAGGCTCAAAAAAAAAATAAATAAGTTCCAGTTCTCTCCTAGATTTTTTTCCTAAAAGTTCTTAGGCATTAAGTTTCTTCATATTGTATCTGAGAACACATTACTTCTCTTCAAGGTCATTAATCTTTCAGATAAATGGTTATGTTTGTTTCACTTGATTTTCTCTCACACATTTCCTCACATATCATTTCATGATCTAAGACTTTAGCAGGAATCTTTCTCCTCAACCTTATACTTAATATAGAATTTTAATATGAATTTTCACAACAGAACACTTATAATTTTTAAGATAATATTTATTATTTAACCTTCTTCCCATCACATATCCAAACTACTAATTTAAAAAGGAGACTTTAACATTTTAGCAAATTTACATTATGTATTTATCATGTTTTCTATAGGTATTAAGTAAAAACCAGGCATTGGATTACTTCATTGTTTTGTCCGATTTTGTACATCAGTTGAAAAAAACTTTACAGTTTCTTTCCAATCGAAGAGTCCCTTATACAATGATCTGAAACTCTTAACATTTGTCTTTATTTTGGCCCAACAATACAAAGCTTGAAGTTACAAGAAATGCAATTTTAAAAGTACAATATGACTTTTTATCAGATTTAAAGACATGTTTAAGTCTTCTCCAACCTAACATATATAAAAATAAAATGAATAAAATTGTTTTGATCTCTTGAACTCCTCAAACCATAGCTATACTATTCTATTTCCTTTCATACCCATGTCTTGAAAGAATTGTCTTCACATCTTAACTTCAGTTCCTGACCCTCCAAATACTCCTTAATCTATTGCAATTCGACTTCCATAACTACCCATCTAACGGAACTACTCTTGACAAGGACATCAGCGTCTTTGTTGTGGCTATCTTTAGCATTTAATTTCCTATCATTGACGGCTGAGAACTGACCAACATGCTTTACTGTTCTCGTGCTAAACAGTTCAGGACTCAATATTCTTTACTCTCTCTGTACCAAATGATTCTCAGGTGAAACCTGTTTCCCTATTTCTTTGTTAAACAACATCGGAATCCGACAAATAAGTTAGTTACTTCCTCAAGGAAATATTTACTTCTGTAAGAATAGATTGTTAACTAATAAGAAAAAATGTACAACAAATAATTACTCATGTGTTTTTTACTTTATGACCTACCTACTTAGTGCAAATCTGAAAGTGTTTTTATCTCTTCCCATTGCCAACCAGTTCCTCAGTCTTCAATGGCTTCTTGGTGGCAAATCCATATCACACATTATAAGTGCCTGTATGATCTGATGCTTTCTACAATTTGTGTGATCCTTCAAACCAAGCTCTAGTTTCAGCTACACCAAATAATTTCAGTTTCTGCAATACGTCACACCACTTTCTTCTATCGCATTCCACACACATATTTTTCTGTACCTGGAACCTGCACAACACACTGATATTCCCATGGCTGACTACTCCTTCAGAATACAGTTTAAATATCGCTACCTTCAGAAAGCCTTATTTTTTTCAGCGAATTGTTTTTTATTTTTACTTTAAAAAATAGATTCAGGGGATAGATGTGCATTTGTTACATGAGTATATTGTGTGGTGCTGAGGGGAAAGCCTTATTTCAATCCTTACTGCTTGTGGGGTGGGGTTACCCTAACATGTAGTAAATATGGTTTAAATACATCTCTGCCATATCAAACATTTTAGGAGTTCAACAACTATTTGTTGAATAAATGCATAAATATATTCTATGACAAGATGGTTTGGTCAGATACTAATTTCAGTTTGTTATGTGTTTTTGTTTACTTTTGGTTTTAGTTTCCATACACCACACAGATGTGTTGCTCAGAATAGCTACCACTAAATAAACAAGCAATAGAATTTATATCCCAAAACCTAACAGAATGCCTGGCACACAGATTTAGTAAATGTTTGTGGCATAAATTGTAATTTTTGAACATCAAATAGTTTCCAGAGCTCATGAGAAACAAACAAACAAAACATAAAATAACTGCTGTAACCAGAATACATACTTCCTTGTATTTCTCTGGCAGTACAATTGTGTACATTATGACAATACTAAAATTACACTAAATATAGTAAATAAAATACATTTAAAACCATTTAAATAAATAAGATATATTAATTGCAAACAAGAATTTCTGGATGACTAGATTCAAAATTTTTTCTTAATGTGAGTCACTAAGAGAGTAACGAAAACGGCAAAATAAATTTGAAAGCAGTTTTTTTTTCTAAGTGATAAGAGTTAGCTTTTGTTTTGAGAAAAATATTTTAAAGAAAATTTTGTAGTATCAGATAAAGAAATCACTCTTACATACATAGATCTTAGACAAAGACCTGAATGTAGTAAAAGATGACTTTATTTAAGGGAAAAAAATTTAACTATTTGTTTGAGCCCAGTAAACTTAGTGTGTATTTCAGGCAATGTATATGTCTTTAGATTATATTTGCATTAGAGTTATATGTATTTTAATTTTTAAAAAATATTTTTGAGTAGTGGGAAATTGAAAATTTGTTATTTTCTACCTTTTAAAAAATGTTCACATATTTTATATCAGGCACACATTATTTTAAACAACATATAGTCATTTTTACAAAAAAATTCAAAGTTCAAAAAGTGCCCAAAATAAAAAAAAATCTAAAAAAATTCTAACAAGAATTCTTCAAACCAAAAGAATGCAAATGTGACTGTGATTCTGAAACTGTAATTATGATAGATAAACCACATATATCTTTAAAATAAAAAGATTAAAAGAGGATACTATTAAAATAATAACTTTTTTTCAGAAATAGGCAATATAAATATGTGAATAGTGACATAAAAAGTTTTAAATGTTGGGAGAGAATAAAGCGTACTGTGTTTTTGCTTGTTTCTTTACTTTGCAATGAAAGTTAAGTTGTTATCAGTTTAAAATAACTTGTTATTATAAGGTGTATTTTGTAACCCTTATAGTAACTAAAAAGCAAAAACCTATTATAGATACATTAAAAATAAAAAGTGGCTCATGCCTGTAATCCTAGCACTTTGGGAGGCCAAGGCGGGCGGATTACCTGAGTTCAGGAGTTTGAGACCAGCCTGGGCAACACGGTGAAACCCTGTCTCTGCTAAAAATACTAAAAAATTAGCCAGGCATGGTGGTGTGCATCTGTAGTCCCAGCTGATTGGGAGACTGAGACAGGAGAATTGCTTGAACCCGAAAGGTGGAGGGTGCAGTGAGCCAAGATTGCACAACTCCACTCCAGCCTGGGCGACAGAGCAAGACTCCATCTCCAAATAATAATAATAATAATAATAATAATAATAATAATAATAATAAAATAAAAAGCAATAAATCAAAACATGTTACTAAAGAAAAATCACTTAACCTCAAAGGAAGACTGAAAGAGAGAACGAAAGTAAGAAAGAATCTACCAAACAACCAGAAAACAATAAGCAAAATGGCAGTAGTAAATTCTTCCCTGTCAATAATTACCTTAATGAAAATAAATTAAATTATTCAATTAAAAGACATGGATTAGCTGAATGGATACACTTATGCAACTAGAAACCAAAAAAGAACACTACCAACTATAATAGTTATATCAGATAAAATAGACTTTAAGACAAAAAGGAAGAAAATACAAAGAGGGTCATTATATGATGATAAAGGGGTCAATTCAGCAAGATTAAATAAAAGTTTTCATATGGGAAATCCTAGCCAGAGCATTAGGCAAGAGAAGAAAGGACATTCAAACTGAAAAGGGAAAAATTAAATTGTCCCTGTTTGCAGATGATATGATTTTATATGTAGAAAACCTTAAAGAGTCCACCTAAAATCTGTTAGAAATAATAAATTCAGTAAAGTTTCAAGATATAAAATCAAAATGTAAAAATCAGTAGTATTCTTCTACCTCAACAGCAAACTATCTGAAAAAGAAATCAATAAAGCAATCCCATTTATATCTATTTTAAAGACCCTAAATATAAAGATAGTACAGAGGGTGCAAGATTTCTACAATGAAAACTACAAAATACTGATGAAAGCAATTGAAGAGGATATTAATAAATGAAAAGTTATCCTATGTTCATTGGTTGGAATAATAATTTTTAAAAATGCTCATACCACCTACAGTGATCTGCAGATTCAATAAAATCACTATCAAAATACTAATGATATTTTTCAAATAAATGGTAAAAGCAATCTTGAAATTTGTATGAAATTTATATGGAAAAGATCCCAAATATCTAAAGCCATTTTGAGTAAAAAAGTAAACTAGCTGGAGGCATTACACTACCTGACTTTAAAATATACTGTGCTCGGTGCGGTGGTTCCCACCTGTAGTCCTACCACTTTGGGAGGTCAAAGCAGGAAGATTTCTTGAAGCCATGAGTTTGAGACCATCCTGGCAACAATGTGAGACCCTATCTTTACAAAAAAAAAAAAAAAGAAGAAGAAGAAGAGAAAAAAAAAAAAAAGCTGTGTTTGATGGTAAACTCCTGGAATCCTAGCTACTCAGGAGGCTATGACAGGAGGGTCGCTTGAGCCCAGGAGTTAAGAGTCGGCAATGACCTGTACTCACATCACTGCACTCTAGCCTTGGTGACACAGCAAGCCCCTATTTCAAAAATAAATAAATAAAAAGAGCTATACTACAACGCAATATTAACCAAAATAGCATGGCACAGGCATAAAAATAGATACATAGACCAATGGAACAGACTAGAGAACCAATAAATAAATCTATGCATTTACGGCTGATTTTTGACAAAGATCCCACAGTAAATGATGCTTGGAAAACTGGATATTCACATGCAGAAGAGTGAAACAACATCCCGATCTCTCACTACTTAAAGTCAACTAAAAATAGGTTAGAGTCTTAAATGTCAGACCTGAAACCATAAAATTATTAGAGGTAAACATAGGGAAAATGGTTCATGACATTGGTCTGGGCAAGGACTTTTTTGGATGAGATCTCAAAAGCACAGAAAACATATGTACAAATAGACAAGCGGGAATGGTATAGGAGTTAAAAAGAAATTATTTAGGCAGATAGTGAGGGTACGGATGTCCTTGGTAAGGTTTCTCTTTTAATAAAAAGCAGCCCCCAAATCATTTCTTTTCTGAAAAAAAGCAGCCTTTAAAATCGAGCTGCAGACATAGATAAGCAAACTGGAATCTTGCACAGGTGAATGCTGGCAATCGTGACAATAGGAAAAGACTACCTAGAGGCCAGGCATGTTCAACATGGCAGATCCATCTTCCATTTTCATTGCCAACCACGTGTACAGTAAGGAGCAGACAACATGATGCCTGCCAGATAGAAAAACTGTTTGCATAATAAAAGATTAGGGTGGGGCAGCCAGCTTCTTTGAGCTAGGTAAATGTCACACCTGGTCCAACCAATCTTTGGGCTCTATGTAAATCAGATACTGCCTCCTCTAGCTAGTCTGTAAAACCCGTGCATTTCCCAGGGGACTGGAAAACCCACTTGGGCACTCCTCTATCTCTTCAGGAGAGAGAGTTATTTTCTTTTCTCTTTCTTTTGCCTATTAAACCTCCGCTCTTAACTTCACTCCATGTGTGTCTATGTTCTTGATTTCCTCGGCATGAGGCAAGGGACCTCGAGTATTACCCCAAACAATGCCACTTCAGGTTTATATCAACCTAAAAACTTCTGTGCAGGCTGGGCGTGGTGGCTCACACCTGTAATCCCAGCACTTTGGGAGGCCAAGGTGGGCGGATCGCATGATGTCAGGAGTTCAAGACCAGCCTGGCCAACATGGAGAAACCTGGTCTCTACTAAAAAAATAGAAAAATTAGCCAGGCATGGTGGCGGGCGCCTGTAATACCAGCTACTCAGGAGGCTGAAGCAGGGAGGATCGCTTGAACCTGGGAGGCAGAGTTTGCAGTGAGCCGAGATTGCACCACTGCACTACAGACTGGATGACAGAGCGAGACTCTGTCTCAAAACAGACAAACAAGCAAACAACAACAACAACAAAAAACCTCTGTGCAAAAAAAGATCAAAAAGTGAAGAGACAGCTTACCGTGTGGGAGAAAATATTTGCAAACTATGCATCTGACAAGGGGATAACATTCAGAATATATAAGAAACTCAAACAAGTCAATAGCAGAAAACAAAGAAAAAACCAATCTGAGTGTAAAATAGGCAAAAGAACTTAATAGACATTTCTCAATAGAAGACATACAAATGGCCAATAGATATATGAAGAAAAATGAAAAATGCTCAACTTCATTAATCATCAGATAAATGCAAATCAAAATCACAATAAAATATCACCTTATAACTGTTAGAATGGTTGTTATCAAAAAGAAAAAAATATATAAAAAATACTGGTGAGAATATGGAGAAAGGGAAACTCATATTATGTTGGTGGGAATGTAAATTAGTACAGCCATTATAGACCAGTATGGAGACTCTTAAGAAAAAACAGACTACCATATGATCCAGCAATTCCACTACAGGGTATATGCCCAAAGGAAATGAGATGAATATGTTGAAAATACATCTGCAACCCCATTTTATTACAGCACTATTAACAATAGACAAAATTGCTAATCAGCCTAAGTGTTCATCAAAGGCTAAATGGATAAACAAAAATGTGATCCATATATATATATATATATTTTATATATATTTATATATTATATATTATATATATATCTTATGTGTGTGTATAGATATATATATACATAGTATTCCACTGTGTGTGTGTGTATGTATATAAGTATATATATGTAAGTTATATATATATGTAAATATATATGTATTATTTAAAGTAATATCCTCCAGGATCATTCATGTTGCAAATGACAGAATTTCATTCTTTTTTATTGATGAATAGTATTCCATTGTGTGGAATACTATTCATACCCTCCAGGATATTACTTTAAGTAAAATAAACCAAGTACTGAAGGACCAATATTACTATGTTCTCACTTATGTGTAGAATCTAAAGAAGTTGGTGTCATGTAAGTAAAGAGTAGAATAGTGGTTACCAGAGGCTGAGGAGACTGTGGGGAGAGAAGAATGGGAAGAGATTGATCAATTGATACAAAGTTAAAGTCAGGAGGAATAAGTTCTGTTGTTCCGTTGCACAGTAGGTTGACTATAGTTAATAGTAATTTATTACATATTTCGAAATAGCAAGAAGAGAGGGTTTTGAATGTTCTCATCACAAAGAAATGACAAGTGCTTGAAGTGATGGATATGTTAATTGTCCTTATTTTATCATTGCACGTTGTATACATATATGGAAATATCACACTGTACTCCAGAAATATGTATAATTATTATGTATCAATTAAAAACAAACAAAAACTTCAAACATCAAGTGAATCTAACTCTATAGTTGATATTAAACCATTCTTATTTCAACATATAATTACCATAAATTTAGAAAACTATGCGAATTACATTCTGCTGCTTGTTTTATTCTTATGGAGTGTTGCCAAAAAAAGTTCTATTATGAAAATAAGATACGCTGATGTTTGGTAAGAAATTTTGAATGTTATCCAAATATGTATATTCAGAAAAAGATTTTTCCTACCAAAGTTTTGCTTACATAATTCTATACTCTTAGAGATGAGTTAGTGTTGAGGGGACAGGAAATCAAAGGAAAAGAAATTGAAGTGATGTCAAGATACTTGATGTGTTTAATAACCTAAACTTCTGACATACTTATTATTTGTAAATATTAATATTCAAAATTGATGAGATTCCAACTTAATGATTATTGTAATAGTGATATTTTCATAATAGACAAGAAGTCTTTGTATTAGATATCCAACAGTAAATAATATTTTATGATAAATTAACTGTACTTTTTTTAGATCATGAACAAGATAAAATATATGTTTATACATATATAGCTGTACACCAAACTATTTGAAATTATCATAAAAAATTTATTATATATCATCTAAAATACCATTTCCTTTAAAATACCTTAATGTTTGCCAGAAATGAAACACATTTGCTCTACTCAAGTTCACCATTCGCAATGTATCTCTGACTACACTAAAAATACTAATTAAACCGATGGTATTATTTCTGTTTTTCAAATAAACCAGAATAGAGTGAAAAGGTAGTTACTTTCTTTTTAAAACAGAAACTCTGAGCTATGAGTATTGCTTTATAAATTCTCTAATACAATAATGAAAGAAAACTATTTTCTTGCAGCAATTACTTTGGAGAGAGAAACTCATAGAACCTCAAAATGGATACTGAAAATTACAAATGAGCTTAATGTCCTTTATTTATATTTTCAGCTATTCAATAAAAATCAGCTTTTTTTCTGCCTTCCTGGTGAAGTATCACAAAGTAAAAACATGTAAATAACTTTAATCTAGGTCAAAGGAAAGAAAAAAGGAAGTGAAAAGGAAGGGAGGGTGGAGTAAAGGGAATGAGGGAAGGAGGGACAGTGGAAGTAAAGAAGGTTGGAAGGAAGGAAAGAAGGACTACTAAAGAACTCTTTTCCATTGTTTTACCTAATGATAACAACTGTTGTGATTTCTTACACTAAAGATTTGTTTTGGCTCTCTTTGAAATTTATATGAATGACTCTTAGAGTAAAATACACAGATAAAAATAGAAACATATAAATATCTATAATAATATGGGCAATATACACATAGATATTTATACATATATAGGTATCCTTAGTACAAAAGTTTCAGAATAATGGAACTAAAATAACAATTACTATGAAAAGATACATTAAATGTAGAATAAACTGCTACTTACAAACAAGTGCAAAGACTGTGTTTTATTTCAATTTTCTTTTTTTTTAATTTATCTTTTATTTTAGGTTCAGTGGTACATGTTCAGGCTTGTTATAGAGGCGAACTCATGACTCGAGGGTTTTGTGTACAGGTTATTTTGTCACCCAGGTACAAGCATAATACTAAATAGCTTTTTTTTGGCGGGGGGAACCTCTCCTTCCTCCCATCCTACACCCTCAAGTTGGCCCCAGTGTCTGTTGTTCTGTTTCTGTCCATGTTCTCGCATTACTTAGCTGCTACTTATAAGTGAGAATGTGTGGTGGTGTTTGGTTTTCTCCTCCTGCGTTAGTTTGCTAAGAATAATGGCCTACAGTTCCTTCCATGTTCCTGCAAGGACATGACCTCATTCTTTTTCATGGTTGCATACTATTAAATGGTGTATATGTACCACATTGTCTTTATCCAGCCTATGGTTGTTTGGCATTTAGGTTGATTCCATGTCTTTGCTATTGTGAATAGTGCTGCAATAAACATATGCATACATGTGTCTTTATGGTAGAATAATTCATATTCCTTTGGGTATATACTCAGTAGTGGAATTGCTGGGTTGAATGTTAGTTCAGTTTTTAGTTGAGGAATCACCACACTGTCTTCCGCAACAGATGAAGTAATTTACACTCTCCACCAGTAGAGTGTAAGCATTCCCTTTCCTCTGCAACCTTGCTAGCATGTGTTATTTTTTGACTTTTTAATAATAGCCATTCTGACTGGTGTGAGATAATATCTCATTGTGATTTTGATTAGTATTTCTCTAATGATTAGTGATATTGAACATTTTTTCATAAGTATATTGGCTGCAAGTATGTCTTCCTTTGACAAGTGTCTTCATGTCTTTGCCCACTTTTTAATGGTGTTGTTTGATTTTTGTGTGTGTGTTTATGTTCCTTATAGATTGTGGATATTAGAGCTTTTGTCCTTTTGTCAGATGTATAATTTGCAAATATTTTCTCCAATTCTGTAGGTTGTCTGTTTGTTCTGTTGATAGGTTCTTTTGCTGTGCAGAGGCTGTTTAATTAGATCTCATTTGTCAATTTTTGCTTTTGCTGAATTTGCTTTTAGCATTTTAACGATGAAATCTTTGAGAGTTTCTATGTTCAAAATAGTATTTTCTAGGTTATCTTCCAGGATTTTTATAGTTTTATGTTTTACATTTAAGTCTATAATCTGTCTTGAAATGATTTTTGTATATAGTGTAAGGAAGGGGTCCAGTATCACTTTTCTACATGTAGCTATCTAGTTATTCCAGCACCATTTATTGAATAGGTAATCCTTTCCCCATTGCTTGTTTTTGTCACCTTTGTCAAAAATCATGGTTGTAGGTATGTGGCTTTATTTCATGGCTCTATTCTGTTCCATTGGTCTATGCGTCTCTTTTTGTACTAGTATCATGTTGTTTTGCTTACTGTAGCATTGTAGTATGGTTTGAAGTCAGGAGTCAGGCAGTATGACTCCTCTAGATTTGTTCTTTTTGCTTAGAATAGTTTTGAGTATTCAGGCTCCTTGGTTCCATATGAATTTGAGAATTAGTTTTTTTAGTTCTGTGAAGAATATCATTGGTAGTTTGATGGGAATAGCATTGAATCTATAAATTGCTTTGGGCAGTATGGCCTTTTTAATAATATTGATTCTTCCTATCCAAGGATATGAAATATTCTTCCATTTGTTTATGTAATTTATGATTACTTTGAGGAGTGTTTTGTAATTCTCATTGTAGAGATCCTTCACTACCCTGGTTAGCTGTATTTCTAGGTATTTTATTTTATTTTTTGGCAACTGTGAATGAGATTGCCTTCCTGATTTGACTCTTGGCGTGGGTGTTGTTAGTGTATAGGAATGCTACTGATTTTTGTATATTGATTTTGTATTCTGAAGCTTTGCTGAAGTTGCTTATCAGCTCAAGGAACTTTGAGGCAGAGACTATGGGGTTTTCTAGATATAGAATCATGTAACTTGTAAACAGGGATAGTTTGATTTCCTCTCTTCCTATTTGGATGCCTTTTATTTCTTTCTCTAAGTCTAGAGACTTGATCAGCAGAAACCCTACAAGCCAGAGGAGATTTGAGGCCTATATTCAACATTCTTAAAGAAAATAAATTCCAACCAATAATTTCATATCTGGCCAAACTAAGCTTCATAAGCAAAGGATAAATAAGATCCTTTATAGACAAGCAAATGCTGAAGGAATTTGTTATCAACAGAACTGCCTTATAAGAGCTCCTGAAAGCAGCACTAAAGATGGAAAGACCATTACCAGCCACTATGAAACACACTTAAGTACACAGACAGTGACCTTATAAAGCAACTACACAGGCAAGTCTGCATAATAACCAGCTAACAACACAATGCCTGGATAAAATCTACACATATCAATACTACCCCTGAATGTAAATGGGATAAATGTTCCAATTAAAAGGCAAAGAGTGGCAAGCTGGATATAAAAGCAAGAGCCAGGGGTATGGTGTCTTGAAGAGACCCATCTCATCTGCAATGACATGCATAATCTCAAAATAAAGGGATGAAGAAAAATCTACCAAGCAAATGGAAAACAGAAAAAAGCAGGAGCTGTAATCCTAATTTCAAGCACAAAAGACTTTAAACCAACAAAGATCAAACAAGGCAAAGAAGGGCATTACATAATGGTAAAGAGTTCAGTTGAACAAGAAGACCTAACTATCCTAATTCTATATGCACCCAACACAGGTACACTGATTCATAAAACAAGTTATTAGAGTCTTAGATTCACACATAGTAATGATGGGAGACTTCAACACCCTGCTGACAGTATTAGACAGATCATTGAGGCAGAAGATGAACAAAGAGATTCAGGACCTGAACTCAACACTTGACCAAATGGACCTAATAAACATCTCCAGAACTCTCCACTCAGAGATGACAGAATATATACTTTTTGTTGTCACACGGTACATGCTCTAAAGTCAACCATGCAATTGGACATAAAACAACCCTGAATAAACTCAAAAAAACTGAAATCATACCAACCACACTCTTGGACCACGGAGCATCAAAATAGAAATGAAGGTCAAGAAAATTGCTCAAAACCATACAATTACATGGGTATTAAACAACGTGCTTCTGAAAGATTCTTGAGTAAATTAGGAAATTAAAACAGAAATGAAGAAGTTATTTGAAAGTAATGAGAACAAAGGTACAACATACTAGAATCTCTGGGACACAGCTAAGGCATTGTGAAGAGGAAAATTTATAGTACTAAACACCCATATATAAAAGTTAGAAAGGTCTCAAATTAACAACCTAACATCACAATGAGGAGAACTAGAAAAACAAGAGCGAACCAACCCAAAGGCTAGCAGAAGACAAGAAACAACCCAAATCAGAGCTGAACTGAAGAATATAGAGACACACAAAAAAAGCACACAAAAGAACAGATCTAGGAGTTGGTTCTTTGAAAACAACAACAATGACAACAACAACAACAACAAAAAACAGGATAGGCTGCTAGCTAGACTAATAAAGAAGAAAAGAGAGAAGATCCAAATAAACACAATCAGAAATGACACAAGAGACGTTACCACTGACCCCAAGAAATACAAATAACCATTAGAGACTGCTATGAACATCTCTGTGCACACAAACTAGAAAAGGTAGAAAAAATGGATAAATTCCTGGACATATACATTGAATGAATCCCTGAACAGACCAATAATGAGCTCTGAAATGGAATCAGTAATAAATAGCCTATCAACCAAAAAAAAAAAGCCTGGGACCAGATGGATTCACAGTCAAATTCTACCAGAAGTGCAAAGAGGAGCATTCCTACTGAAGCTATTCCAAAAAATTGAGGCGGAGAGACTTCTCCTCAACTCATTCTATGAAGCCACTCAAGTGAGAGCCAGAGATAAACATGATAGGAGAATTTATTAATATAAAGCATAAGGGCATTTTATATATGAATTATTTTAAATTATTTTACCCACTTCTGCACAAAATGTACTTTCCATTTTGTTAATATTAAAGCTATAGTTCTTGAAGTGTTGTCCCTGAACATCAACATCAGCTGTGAACTTGCTAGGAATGCAAAGTACTAGGCACCACCTCAGACCTAATGAATCAAGCCCTCTGGGAGGTTCTGTTGGATGCTCAAGTTTGAGAATCACTGACACAGAATATTAGTATATGTCCTGGCCAGAAACTTCGAAATCTACTGAAACACTTCATTTTATGAAATTATTTTAAATTTATGTTATTTTATAATTGAAATATTTGTGTCATTTTTTTCTAATAATCCATTTAGTTAAATTTGCCACAAATGTATTGAGTGCCTACTCTCAGGGCTGATATTCTAGGACTGAAAGACCTAAAGATAAACATATTACAATCTCTTTTGAACAACTCAGAGCAACTAGTTGTTTGGGGAAGACTAATAATGACCAAAAGAACTAACTGATAAGTGCTGACATAATATAATTTGGGCTCTGAATTAAGAAAGGAAGCTGAACCACCTGAATTTGCATACAGATTGTATAAATAGAAGGAAGGCTGTGTGGAGAAATATGTGCCTTAGCTAGACTTAGAGTATAAGCGGATGGTTGATGTTACTACAATCTACTTTGTAGATGAGGAGACCAAAACACAGAAGGCCAAAAAATTCATATGAGACCATAAAACTAGAAAATAATTAGTCTGGAATTCAAGTCAATACTTCTGGATACAGAATGATCCTTTATCTTTCCTTATTTTACTTCATTATTCCAAAAGGTAAAGAAACCAGCTAAAGAAACATGATTAGTGAAAGCCTGAACCAAGAACTACATTCAGACTCCCTCATTCTTATACTAACGCTCTTCCTTTGATCCAATATGTCATTGCAAGACAACTCACAAAATAAGATATAAAATGAATTACTTAAATAAATTAGTGAAGAAAGGCATATAGTCAATATGAGATAATGTTTTTCCTTTTTTACTCTTTGTATATAAATATGCTGCAGAGGGAAAAAAAAAACATGTACCTTTCTTACAGTGTCAGTAACTCAGCTGAAATTTTAAAATCATATTGATTAGTAAATCATCCCAGATAAAAATTAAACTGCCATAAGCAGGCCTAATCATTTTTAGTGTCAACTAACACTATTTATTTGCCTATATATACATATATAATTTTTCAATCTTATATTGAATGAATGTCATGTTGGACCCCTATTGACTTCAATAGGAATAACACTACGTTCTAGAGGCTGAAGAAGAGACCAGAACCAATGAATGAGATATAGGGTTTATCAAGGGGAACTTACAAACAAGGATGGTCCAGTGTCTGGGAGAGCCATAGCAGAACCACCACGCTTGTAAACAGCATGCAGTTTATATAGCATTTTCACTTAGCAATCTTCACCTAATAACCTCCACCTGGCAATCTTCATTTAACTCCAAATGAAGGAGCTTCATCCCCTGTACAGCCTGCATTCCATGGGATTGGATGGGGTTCCTCATAAATAAGGAATCAATCTCCAGGCTGGTCACTCCTGGATTCTTTAGTTCAGGACTCTAAACACACTTTTGAACAACGAAGAATGAAAAAGAGGTCGGTGTATTATTTTTCCCATTCCCTTAATCATATGAAACTTTCCCTTCATATATTCCTCCAAGAGCTAGTCTGTCCAACACAGTCACTCCATGTTGCCATGCTGACTGTGAATTCCAGGTATATTATTTCTTCCCCTTCTCCCTTCAGGCCTAGAGGTAGTAATGGACTCCATTTTTCTCATCTGGATGCCTTATTATTTAATTTGTTCCCCAAATACTGCAATATCTAGGTAAAAAATTTCTTCATTAATTATGTTCATTGGAAACAACCATGATGAATTTCCTCAATGTAAATACATTTTCCAATTTGAGTGTTTGGTACTAGGGATGACCCCAAGATACTGGCATCAGAATGGGAATTTGAAAGCCTAACATGTTTGAGAAATATAGAGATCACATTTATTCAAAATATCCAGAGTAGAGACATGGAATATAGAGCTGATAAAGGACAAAGATTTGGGTCATTAACTAGATGTTTAAAAAATGCTTTAGCAACAATGGAAGTTATAAAGAGTGTAGATTGGGATTGAGAATGTACAAAGGACTAATGATAAGCTTAGGGCCTATGACTCCAAATTCAAGGCACAGATAAAGAACTGGGAAGCTTTTATGACCTAAAATATCTTTTATCTCTAGTAGCATCGGGACAAGCATATGGAAGAATCAGGCCCCAAATCTAACAGTGATATACAACATAATGCCTGTTTACTACACAAGATCATAAAATTATGCTATTAATGAGGCCTGGTTGGGTAGGAGTGGAGCTCTGAGACTTGGAGACAATTAGAGGGCATGAACAAAGCCAAGAAACTTGAACTCTTTCCTTAAGCCTTCTTTGATTGCAGAAGCATCACTTCCTCCAATGAGGAAACCTGCCTACTCTTGAAGCTAATCTCTTCAAAACCCTCACCAGGATTTTACCAGGAGCAGATACTTTGCAATATGATGCCTATTTTTCCTTAGGACCTGTCCTCCTATGCTTCATTCTCTATAGGCTTACTCCTTCTATTTATGCCCAAAGGGAAAATCACAAGTTCTGCACTTACAAGATATATCACACATCAAATAAATTACAGTATTGTACTAATGTATATGGAAAAGTACATTGGGAGTACCTATAGGAAAAGATTCAAAGGGTATCAGATTAAGGTTGAACTGGGTGAAATGAATTGGTATGGTTCTACTTACCAAGAATCCAGAGGAGTGGATCTAAATCTTGTAGGGGTTAACGTAAGCCTCTATTAATCGGAGTTCTAGAATCTGTAATGCTAATATTTCCCAGGAATACTGTAGAGGAAAAATTTTTTTAAAAAATACTAATATATATGGCAATTATGCAGTGAATCTAACAAGGCCAAACCATTATGACATTTTAAGACATTCACTGACAAGAAAACCTATAGTGAACTTTTAAAGCTCTCTGCTAAGCAAACTATAGACTCTGATGACACTAGTGAATTGAGCTCTTTGGTATCTATATCAACAATGTACCAAAGACAGTGTGGACACGAGTGTCACTATAGATCCCTGCCAGTAGCCCAGTTAAGCCAGTCGCCTTTTAAGGATAAAGAAAGTTTTATTGTAATATAGCAGCATTCATTTGATTATGCATTATTTATTTTTGGTTTCTTTTGACAACAACAAAGTCAAGTAATTATGACAGAGACCATATACCCCACACTCCCAAGGCCTACACTATTATTTACTATCTGGTATTTTACCCAGAAAAAGTTTGGTGGTTCCTGTTATGATTCCAAGGGTAGAGTGTTGATTTACGTGTGTATATACAACTCCAGAGGTAAAAAAAATTGATCATGAGGTATGAATGTATGAAGGTATCATGTATGAAACAGCTGAACAGTCCACTGAGTTATTACTTGGTCTATTTAATTAGAAAATGTATAGATCTTTTGTGTAGAAATCTGCATTGAGTCATCATGTATTATTATGCTCTCTCTCCAAGTTATTTTATTTAAATTAGTTCAGAAATTCAGAAGCTTCACTGATTATAAGGCTGGATTCTTTAAGAAAGAATGCTGTAAAATTGCTGCAAATCTATAATGGAAATATTTATCCATGCTTTTCACAAGCATTAGATATTGGAAAATGAAAAATACCAAAAGCATTCCAGGAGTTATTAAATGTGATCCCTGAATTGAAGTAAGTACCTCACAATCCTAAAATGCCACAATATCCAGCAGCAGAGACTAAACCTTTGAAAGCCAGGTAATAAATTGTATATTTGCTCACATCCATACCCTGGTGTGTTCCACCAGATGAATAGGCTAAACCTAGTTATTTCCTCAGTCTCAGAATACATAGTTGGAAAAGATATATCAGAAACTGTCACAATTCTCATATTGAGGTCTCGACCCACACAGAGTCAGGTGTATTAAGAAAGAATGTGTCAATTGAACTATCACCAGGCACCTAACACAGTGCTACACAAAAAGCTATACTGCATTCATAAGCACTTTTCAGATATCAGCATCACATTCAAAACTTGAAATAGGCCTGACGTGGTAGCTCACGCCTGTAATCCCAGCACTTTGGGAGGTCAATGCGGGAGGATCATGAGGTCAGGAGACTGAGACCATCCTGGCCAACATGGTAAAACCCTGTCTCTACTAAAAATACAAAAATTAGCTGCGCATGGTAGCATGTCCCTATAATCCCAGCTACTCAGGAGGCTGAGGCAGGAGAATCGCTTGAACCAGGTTGTCAGAGGTTGCAGTGAGCCAAGATCGCACCATTGCACTTCAGCATGGTGACACAGCGAGACTCCGTTTAAAAAAAATAAAATAAAAAAATTTAAAAAAGCCTTGAAATATTAAAGAGTAGAGATTCCATTATATTACAAATTAATTTATTTGGAAGATAAAAATGTCAGATGGATTTCAGACAATAACTAGATTATCACTAATATAATCAGGCAATGAAGATAATTGAAGCTGATACTCCAGATGTGATATTTTTACATCAGAAAATCCACATATCCCTTGAAACTTAGTGTGAAGCTGTCAACTTCCCATAACACTTTGTAAAAAGAAGCAACATTATTAGGGGAATCTAAACTTGTTTATGTTCTGCTAAAGGGGAGAAAAGCTTCACTTCAATGTTTTGCTACAGAAGAATCACAACTCTCCTTTTCCATATATTTAGGAAGAACTTTAATTACCTTGATAATGCATATACCAACACACTTTTCCATATGTGATATTGCGATTATTAAATGTAGAGGGCAAAAAACAGCAAGTATGCTAGATGTCTTCATTGTCAGAGGGTAGGAGATAAATCTTACAAACTTTAAGTGGCCTATGACATTGGTGAAAGTAAGTATACAAATTTGACTGTGTTAAGAAATTGCCTTTATGAAAAGTTCTTATTTTATTCATTAAATTTTTTTTTTTTTTTTTTTTTTTTTTTTTGGCTGGCACAGTGACTCACGCCTGTAATCCCAGCACTTTGGAAGGCAAAGGTAGGTGGATCACCTGAGGTCAGGAGTTCGAGACCAACCTGGTCAACATGGTGAAACCCTGTCTCTACTAAAAGTACAAAAATTAGCTGGATGTGGTGGCGCATGTCTGTAGTTCCAGCTACTCTGGAGATTGAGGCATGAGAATCACTTGAAACTGGTAGACAGAGGTTGCAGTGAGCCAATATCACGCCACTGCACTCCAGCCTGGGCTACAGAGTGAGACTCTGTCTCAAAAATAAATGAATAAATAATAAAATTAATTCTTATTTTATTCAAATTTTATTTTTTCTTTTTTATTTTTAATTAGTTAATATTTTGGTAAGAATATTCAAGGTGAAATATGTCTTTCATCAAATTGTTGAATGCACAATGCAGTATTTGGTAACTATAGGTACGACGTTGCACAGAAGATGTCTACAAGATGTTCATCTTGCATAACTAAATACTTATGTCCATTAAACAGCTACTCCCCATTTTCTCTCCCTTCTAGCCACGGGAAACCACCGCTTTCCTCTGTTTCTATGAGTTTTACTGCTATAAATTCCACTTATAAGTAAAATTATGTAGTACTTGTCCATCTGTGACTGGCTTATTTCACTTAACATAATGTCTTCCAGATTCATCTATGTTGTTGTATATGCCAGGATTTCCTTTTCTTAGCTGACTAAATAATATATTATATATAATATTACTTATATATATAATATAAATACATTGATATTACATAAACATATGTATTAATAAACATATTTATATTATATGAATATAAATATATAAATGTATAATATAATATATAATATGTATTTTATATCTCACCTATTCTTTATTATATATATATCTCACATATTCTTTATTTATTATTCTGTCAATAGATATTTAGGTGTTTCCATATCTTGACTGCTGAAAATAATAGTGCAATAAACATAGGAGTGCACGTGTCTCTTCGAGATCCTGATTTCAATTCTTTTGGATATATACACAGAAGTGGGATCACTGAATTACATGATAGTTCTACTTTAATGTTGTGAAGAACTGCAATACTGTTTTCTATGGTGATTGCACAATTTTACACTAAGAAAAAGGCACAAGTTTTGATAGGTCCTTTACTGAAGACATTGCATGTAAAATGTAAGTGTTCTCCATCCACCAATTTACCAATAAGCTCACTGGTCTACCACTTTTGCCTCAGTTCCAAAGCAAGAGAAGCCTCTGCTTTAGGTCTGAGATTTTGGACATGGTGTTCTGCAACTTTGGCATTAGGAGGCAGAAGATCAAATAGTAGTAGAAATATTAATGACTGATAGGAATGATCTATTGATTCTCTAGCTAGCCCACTTGGAGAATTAGAGCTCACACAATGGGAGCTCCCATTGTGTGGGAGCACAATTATACTTCAACTTCCAATAAACATTGTCTGAGAGTCATCTCCTAAGAGAGAATGGGGACTAGGAATCAACTGTGACCCCATTAACTGACTATGGCTCACATAATCTTAGAATATGTACATCCGCATTCCATCATTACACACAAATTGTATATCTGAGAAAGAGTGAACAGGTCTAGAAGTAAATCACATGGAAATGTAACTCAATCCCCTTGGTACTTATTTCTCCTGTTTCATCACTTCTACCTCAATCAATAACTAGGACCTTAATTAGTTTGCTATTAATAGTAATGGATGACTACAGACTTATCGACTTTAAACAACTAATTTCTGTAGGCCAGTAGTTCAGAAATCGGTTCTCTGATGGCTTGGGTTGTCTGGTCATCGTCTCAGAAGGCTGCAATAAGGTTGTTGGCCAGACTACATTCTAGTCTGAAGGCTCAACTGCAAAAGAGTATGCACCCAAGCTCACCCATTTTGTTGGAAAAGTCATTTTTTTGTGTCTCTAGAGCTGAGGACTCTGGCTTCTTAGTGGCTTTAATCTGGGGGATGCTTTGACTTCCCACATGACGTCTCCAGGTCTTGTATGACACTCTCACCCACACTTCTAGAGGTCCTAGAGGTCACTGACACTTCTTTTCAACATAGGCTTCCTGAACATGGCTGTTTTCTCCATCAAGTAAGCACAGAGGATCTCTAGAGTGAATCTAATAACAGGATATATTATCTACATGTATTATGTAATGTAACATATGTATTATGTAGCATATGTATATGTATTATGTATTATGTACATGTATTATATAATGTAACATAATCACAGGATTGTCACTGTAACATCTTTGTCATGTTATATGGGTTAGAATCATGTCTCAGGTCCTGCCCATACTTAAGCAGAGGGCTTAAATGAGAGCATGATTACCGGAAGGCGAAGATCATCGGTGGTCACCTAAGTCTATGGCTTCATGAGAAGATCCCAATGACTTGTTGAAAGATAAAATCATAGATCTGCTTTATGCATGGGCCTGGCATCAGCATTCCTTCTCATTATTATGATAATACATACATTTTTTGCTTAAAATTATAAAAACTTTGAGCTTGAAAGGTTTGACAGACCTAATTTCAAGTATAAACTTTCCCTTCTGCATTTTGGGCTCCCCAAGCCACTGAATCGATAGGTAAGTAAGAGATTGGGATGATTAATCCCAATAACTAAGCAAAAATCAGGTTGTTTGTAAGCTGTAGCTAAAGAAGACTCTGTCTGGAAACCAGGAGACTGACTGGGATGGCACCTAGCAATCCTATATCCAGTAATGAAGACCAGTGTGGAACTGTGGTAGAACTTTCAGAAACAAAGACTTGGCTCACCCTAGCAGGTAAGCATCTCTGACAAAATATGGCATTGTCAGAGGACAAGATGTATATGGAATGGATGGTTGTCTAAAAAGGCTAGCATTATTAACCCAGGTCACTGACCAGACATGAAATTTACCTTCTTTCACTTTCCTTTTATGGATACTAATATAGTCGGGATGTTTGTCACCTCCAAATCTCATATTAAACTTTGATCCCTTATGTTGGAGGTGGGGTTGGTGAGAGGTATTTGGGTCATGGGGACACATTCCTCATGAACGGCTTGCTGCCATCCTTATAATAATGTGTGAGTTCTGGGTCTGTTAGTTCCCATGAGATCTGATTGTTTAAAAGAGGCTGGCACCTCTTTCTCTGTCTCCTGCTTCCTCTGTTGCCATGTGACAGGTTGGTTCCACTTGTCTTCCACCAAGACATGAAATTATAAAAAGGGAAAAACATTCATGAGGCAAATTGTAACAAAATAAAGAGATGATGGAACCACTAATATTAGACACAAAGAACTTATGGTAAGAACCATTAATAAAGACAAAAAAGAATAGCTCATGTTTATCAAAGAGTCTGTCAGGAAGAAATTGTGAAAATGAAAGTAGCTAAAATGTTTTTAAATTCATAACCTCCAAATAGCTAGAAGTATAAAAACATTAAGAAAAATCCACAAAG
Organism: Homo sapiens; assembly: GCF_000001405.40. Lineage (NCBI taxonomy): Eukaryota > Metazoa > Chordata > Mammalia > Primates > Hominidae > Homo > Homo sapiens. Next base: position 70,000,408 of record NC_000013.11, read on the forward strand.
TTTCTTCCCAAAACTAATAAAACAAGAAAAAAAGCGTATATACATTAGTTATATAATACCGTTAGTAAGCCTGATTTACTAAATATATAGAGAACTATTGCATATCAAAGTTTGATTGATCTTTTCACACGTATTTGGAATATTAATACAAACTACCTTACATTACATAACAAATAAGTGACATGAAATACATTCTCTGACCACAATGCAAAATCACTGGAAATTAAGAATATATAGCTAACATATTTGTCTACTAAGAAGTTCTAAAAATATAATTTAAATAATTACTGAACCTAGAAGTCACAGATGACAACAAAGTTTCCAAATAACAGCATTACATTTAAAGTGACTGTAAAATACAGCTACAATGTTACATTAAATAGTGTGCAGACTTATATATGTTTATTTAAAAAAGAAAAGTAAATATTAACAAATTTTAAGTTCTAAAATCAAATAAAAAGAATGAGGATAATAAGATCAAATAAAATAGAAAAAAGCAAAGATAAAATATAACTTACAGAAAAAAAAACAAAAAATAGATGCCAGAATATTAATAAGATCAATGATGACAGGAAAGTAATTGGCAAAATATAGAAAATATGGATAAGATAGAAATAGAAGATATTAGAGACAAAAAGTAAAGAAATGGTATATGTATTTAATGATTTGTTGTGTAAATAATTATAAGTAGTATTTAATTATTTGTTGTTTAGTAATTTATTTTAGAGATATTGTTATGGGAATCAGATAAATTTCAATGTTTGCTGAAATGGCAAATTTTCTAAGAAAATATAAAACAGGAAATAGGAAATAGAAATAAGCTAAGAATAATTAAAAATAAAAATGTAGTCAAATATTTACCTTATAAAAATAACAATTCAAAATTATTTGACTTACGAATTCTGCAAACATTTAAAAACCATAGAGGTCATATGTTATATGAATTATCCTCATTAAAGAAAAAAAATAGAAGTATTTCCACCTCATTATGAGCCTAGTACAATTCAATTTCAACAACAAAAGACAAAATGAGAGAAGTAAAGTATAAGCTAAATCGCACATATAAAATGGATTATATAACTTGTACTTAAAAAGAATACCTTATTCCAAGTATGATTTATTTCAGGTTTGCAAGAACATTTAAACATTGGGATATCTATCTATGATCTATGTGTCTATCTATCTATCTATCTATCTATCTATCTATCTACCTATCATCTTTCTACTGAAACATTGGGATATCTATCTATTATCTATCTATCTATCTATCTATCTATCTATCTATCTATCATCTTTCTACTATCTTCCTATCTTAAATAGATCATATTAGTGTATTTTAATATCCATATAATAAAACTATGTCAGTAGACCATGAAATCAAAAATTATTTGATAAAAATGTAGTGCTCATTAAATTTACTTGACTAACATTTTCTATCAGAAACTAGAGAAAGCATTATATCTAATTAAGGCTTAACATCTAATTTACAGCTAAAGTTAGCAACAAAGGACTGGAAAACCTTATAAGAGCTGGCATTCTACTGAGACCAGAAAGACCATATCTTAGAAGAACTAGAAAATAAAGTAAGAGCTAATCTACATCCACCTTAACAGAGCCTATAATCAATCTTCAATGATATTAAAGCAGGCTATTAGTAAAATAACTGGTTCTGCTTGATAGAACAAAATTCAGCACTCTTTATAAGATATCAACATACTCCTTATGCATTACTCCCTCTGTACTCCTTAATACATAAAATCAATGTTTATAATGCAGTTAAAATTACCATTCATGCAAAGAAGAAGAAAATATAACAATATTTTTAAATAAAGAAAAAGATTCCAAAATGGTCCGCATGTTTGAACAGCAGACAAGGTCTTTAAAGAATGATTAATGTGTTCAATAATTTAGAGATAATTAGAATCTTAATGTATGAATAGATTAGGAAAATAAAATCAATTGGATTGGTTGGAGTTGGCAGAAGTAAGGGCCAGGAAAAAATAGGAAGGGAGAAAAAAAATTTTTTTAAATGAACGGAGCCTCAAAAGCATATTGGAAAATATCAAGTGATCTACAGTTTTGTCATTGTAGTCCCAGGAGGCAAGGTGAGAGGGAAGGGGACAGAGAAAATATTTAAATAAAAAATAATAATAAAAGTTCCAAAATTTAACTTATACTTTAATCTACAAATCCAAAAATCTCAGTGAACCCCAATCAGGATATATACAACATAAACCTCAATTAGACACATCATGTCAATGACAAAAGCATAAGTTGTTCAAGAAGTGATCTTAACATGACTTGCTTTCCATTAAAATAACTCGAGTCACTACTTGATGTCATAAACTTCAAATATGCTAACGTGCTAAGTATAAAAAGCAAAACTATTAACAAGTAGAAGAAAAATCAGTGGGAGAATGGGCATACATTTACATGATCTGGTTGAAATACATTCTTAAGCAAGTTACAAATTCCAGATGTCCAAAAGGAAAAATAACAACATAAGTATTTTCATTATTTTTATTAGGGAAAATAAGATACACACATTTAAATACTACCTACATACTTGGAGAATATATTGAGCTTGTAGATATGCAAATAAATAATACCTAGATTTTACAAAGCACTTTTAAAAATTAACAATTAAAAGACTAACAGAAAAGTGAACAAAATATATTTTTATTCAATTCCAAAGAGTAAAAAGGAAAACAAATATGTGAAAATATGTTCAAACTGAAATAACAATTATGAGCATACAAACTACAAATAAATCTTTTCTCCATAATATTGCACATATTTTAAAGATTGATAATCAAATCATATTCAAGCTTTTCCTTGAAACATGATGAAAACTTTGATGAATAAGGGAATTAATTAAACTTCAAGGGAAAATGTAAAAGAGTCAGAGAAAAGTGGATACTTTTTTCACATAAGAAGAAGCAATCAGATGCCTGATTCCTATAGAGATGTGTGGAGTTTAGAGGAGAAAAATATTTTCAATGACATGTTAAATACATTCAATTGATATTTTAAGCTGAATCAAATGAGGTGTGCATCATGAAATATTTGTAAGAGATCAAACCAGAGAGAGAGAATCCATGTGCAAAATGTCATATTCACTGCCTCCCTTTAGAGATTCTTGTTATGCTTGAAAGCAACAAAGGATATAAAAGAAATAAAGTGAGTTTAATTGTGTTTAGCTTCATTCTCCAAATGCATTTATCATTGAAACAATATTTAATTTTTATTATATTTGTTTATTTTTCAGGGAAGAGGGTGGCACAAAGGATAACCCCTATTAATATTTCATGAAATTTTGTACTACATAACACATGGAAAAGAGCTGTTTTAAGCATTTAACCATTAACAAGTAAATGAATGAGATAATTAGGAGTAAGGAATTAAGTAGACGAGATTGTAGACAGGGCGATATATTACGAGACTATTGCAGTAAACAAAGGAAGAGATGATGAAGAACTGGATCACATCAAATTTAATATACGGACAGTGTTAAGAGAATGGACAAGAAGAGATATAACAAGGATAAAAATCTACAAAATCTGAAGGTCAATGTATATTTGTATGAACTCATCTTTAGTTGTTAAATCATACACAATACCTCTTAGACATGGTTACTAGTTTATTCATACTGGTTATAACTTTTATCTGAGGCCTACCTTTAAGGCCAACTAATGGCTGATAGGTGGTATGTATGAGAAGTTTTTAACTGATACTCTAAACAGAAATTTATTATCTAATGATTGGTGAATATAAATGGAAGGTCAGTCCTGAAAGGTTGGAAATAGAGCCAAAGTTGAGGATGGGGAAGCTACCAACTACTGTGTTACATTAGAAATTTAGAAAAACGTAGGACCTCAAATAAATAAAGACCCCCATGACACATGACAACAAGAAAGAGGAACATAAAAACATTTCACTAATAATCTGGTTGATAACCCATGAAATGCTAAGCGTCCAAGATTATGTTGCTTTTAGCTATGTCCTGACCCTTTCTTTGGTCATGGAAACTGTCTTAGAAGGTTATAGCTTGATTCTATAGCAATTGCAATCTAATTGGAAGATACCACAATTACTAGTTTTATCCTGCCATCCCCCTGACTAGTCCACGTTTCCTTTTTTTGTATTATAGTCTTTGTTGATTATTATGATTATAAATGTAATATTATCAGTATATTCCTGCATCACATTTAAATATGTACAAAGACTTTACATGACATATTTTAAAGTTGTCTGATAATTCTTAAAGGCAAACCATTTCTGCATTAAAAATACTTTTTTAAAATGTTGTGATTGTTTTTACATTTTTATTACACCCAAATAACTTTATTATATGAAATTGAATGTCATTCTGGGGTTAAATAAATCAAAATTACTGTACTAATTAAAATACTACTAGCTGAAAACAATGAAATTTGAACTATTCCTTTGAAAATTATATTTATAACTATAACTGATATTAATATATTTTAATATTTTGTAGAAAACTATATATTTATGTTTATATCTATTACCTATCTACAAATATTACAAGTAATTTTAATTAAGAAAGTAAAGCCAGTTAATGCAATGTCATAATTGTAACGTAAGTCCTAGTTTTGTAGGATTTTATGTTTTTAGAATACAGGTTTTTGTATTGCAAAATGACAACACACACAAAAATAAAATAGTAAAGATTACTTATAAAACAAGTATATACATATACACTCATAAATATCTCAATTTAAATTATGTGGTTACCAAAGAGAGAAAATAAACATTTATATCTAAAATGAATAACTAAAATAAATTAGTAAATTCAGAAGACTAAATTTTAAGAAAAACTTCCATGAGCAATAGTAAAAAAATGCAAATATTTATCTTACCAAATTAAATTGATTAAGATTAATATATCCCTGCTGTGCAAAATAGTCTAGGAAAACAATTCATTTTCTATCAAGCTTGTCCAACCTGCAGCCTGCAAGCCACATGCAGCCCAAGATAGCTTAGAACGTGGCCCAACACAAATTCATGCAAACTTTCTTAAAACATTTTGAAATTTGTTTTTTGGATTTTTTTTAGCTCATCAGCTATAATTAGTGTTTGTGTATTTTATGAGCGGCTCAACACAATTATTCTTCTTCCAATGTGGCCCAGGGTAGCCAAAAGATTAGAAATCCTTATTTTAGATATATGTTAATGTATCTAGTATTAATCATATGTACAAGATAAACACTGCATGTTTTAATAATTAGAAACAAATGTATTGCTTATTTCGCTTTGATTAAAATATCTTATATTTTAAATGAAATAAATGCCCAAGTATAGCAGGGAAAATTATCAAAACAAGAATAAATACATCGTTTTATTTGTACCAAAATATACTCTCAAGCTGTTCCCATTAAATCAATAAAGTATTGTCATATATTAGTAAAAATAAGAAAAATCACTGTTGTAAGAACTCTTATCATGAGATCTACTCTCTTTAGCAAATTCTGAAGTGCTCATTATTGTATTAACTATCGGACTATGTTGTACTGCAGATCTCTAGACCATTTTCATCTTGCCTTCCTAAAACTTTACTTCTATTTAGCAACGATGCTCCATTTTTCTTCTTTCCCTCAGCCACTGGCAACCACCATTTCATTCTTCGCTATTATGAGTTTGACTATTTTAGATTCATCATATAAATGATTTTATGTAGTATTTGTCCCTCTTTGTCTTGCTTATTTCACTTAGAATAATGTCCTGCAGGTTCATCTATATTGTTGCAAATGACAAGAATTTCCATCTTTATTTTTAAGGCCGAATAATATTCTGTTGTATGCATATACGACATTTTCTTTATCTATTTGCTTATAGATGGACATTTGGGTTAATCTCATAGCTTATTCTATTCCTGGGATAAACCCCACTTGATCAAGGTGAATGATCCTTTTATTCTGTTATTGAATTTGGTTTGCTAGTAATTAGTTGAGGATTTTTGTATCTTTATTTGGGGATATTGGTCTGTAATTTTTCTTTCTTGTATTGTCTTTGCCTGGCTTTGACTTTAGATTTTGCTTTACTCAGTACATTCGAAAGTATTCCCCCTCAAGTTTTTTTTTTTTTTTCAAAGAGTTTGAGAAGGATTTGTATTAGTTATTTGTTAAAAGTTTGGTAGACTCCACCAGTGAAGCCATTTGTCCTGGGGCTTTCATTGTTAAGTGGCTTTTGTTCATCAGGTATTTTATAAGATGCCCCTTACTGGAAATTGGTTGAATGTTTCTCTCATGGACATGTCGGGGTTATTACCAGTTTTAGGGAGAAAGATCCCAAAGGCAAAGTCACATGGCAAAGGTACATGCTGACAGCACTAGATTACTATTGACATATATATGCTAGAAGAATAATAGCTTTCAAGCTCAAAATCTAGAACTCTAAGTAAAAATTAATTGCAAAGAATATATGTTTTCTTAATTAGAAAACTATAAATAATCATACAATGTTTTTAAGTTACTCTTGCATATGTACAAATTATTTTTCATTTTGTTTTTATATCAAAATACATTAGTATTACATTTGATTATAGTTAATAAAAGTTGATAATATTATTGATGATAGCCATAAGAGCTATGGTGCTATTGTTGGTGTTCAGAGAAAACAACCGGATTGAAATTATGAATCCACTGTTTTGTCATCTTTCATAGGTTTCAAGGGAAATGCTGTTGGAAAGTTAATCTCAAAACAATATGAGAACTTATCAACAAACCGTGATAATACAAATCAGAAATGGAAAAAGTTTATTTGGAATGTGTCGTATTGCAATAAATCAAATGTGTATTTTTATTTGAAAAATATTTACTTTTAAGACTCACAACAAAATTCTAGAATTTAGACATTTTATAAGTTTCTTCCAGTAATTTTATTCTGCTCAAAATACAATTTCCCAGCAATTGCTCATACACACAAATACATATACATCTATATAGGTATATATTGATACACATTATTATGTGCCACTGCACTCCATCCTGGGCAACACAGCAATATTTCATCTCAAAAAAAAAAACACAAGTAAACTTATTAAAGTGAAATTCAAACTTTGAGTTCCTGGCATACATAGGATAAATATCTAGGTAAAAGCAGTGTAGCCTAGAATAGATAATACTGAGACTTGAAGAGTTAGCTATACTTTTAAATAATTTAAAGGGAAATGCTAAAAATAGTCATGGGAAATAGGATCTGTCTTTACCTGTAAGGTATCTATTTAAGCTTTGTTGGTGAACCATTATATAGAAAATAATTTCAACTTTCCTAGTACTGTATTACTTTACAAATTAAATTTTAAAAAATCATAAACCATAATTATTCACTAAAACACAGAACAAGAAAACAAATACAAACACAGAGGTCTCTGTACCCACATGTTTCTCTCAAGGAGTGAATATTTTCTCAGTGAGAGTAATTTTACAGGCTAAGACATATTTTTTGCACTGCCTGAGTCCTACAGATAATTTATAGATAACTAATCTGGTGTTGATCAAAAGCAGCCCCAAAAATGCCACATTAGCTTACATATAAGATTATAAAGTTTATAATTTTATATTGAAAATTAATGTAGTATGGCATGAATAGATATTGATCTATTTTGATGATTGGCTCTTACTATTTGGTTTTCTGGAGTATCACAGTATACACTTTTTACAAGATTTCTAGCTGCAAATTTTTCAATTTCTAAATCTTTTAGAGTATTATTTTCTACAGGACCTAGGAGATAGTTTATTTGTATTTTAATTTTCTTGTAAGGAAAATCAGGTTGTCATAATAGTATTTATAGGTTTCTTTTGGAATGTTTACATTAAAACTGATTATTGTTATTCTTCTCTGATCCACAGAGAATACAACTTAGGAAAAACTTCAAGTTGTTTCACTGATTGAGAACATGCACTTGTGCCTCATAGCTTGATTTCATGCATGCCTTGGGCCATATCTTTTCAGGTCATATAAGTTTTTGTCATTCTATGAACATATAAGTGTGTATGTATCTATCTACTATGCCTGGTAGTATGCGCCCCCATATGTGGTACACTCATGTGCGTCATTGGCTATGCACCCAAATATGCATGTTTTTAACCATTTGATATATACATTAAAAAGCTATTAGGACAGTAATATTGGTCATTTATCTTAGTATCTCTCCTATATTTCCTATAGTTTTCCCATCCATAATAGTGTGGTTTTCATTTACAACCCACAATTATTCTCCTCACATCTTTTTCCTCTTTTCTCTCACTCAAATGCTGAAAACAATTGATCATTTATATTTTTGTAGAGACTTGAAGACAAAACTCTATTAATTATTTGAATTGCACTGAATATATATGCCAAAACAAAGATAGCAATTTAATTATTCACCAGTATGAATCTGCCAACTTGATGTGATCAAATTAATTAATTTTCATTGATTTAGAAAGTTGTACACTTGTAATAGAAAGCAACCTCAAAAATGGATCAATATTATTATAATTCTTGTCACAATACAATGCACTTCTCTCTCCTTCTGGATTTTATATTTGTCATTAAATTTGTCATTAATGTTCATGCTTATATGATGCTTCAATAAAAGTAAAGATGAGATTATAACATTCACTACTTTTTAAACATTTAGAATAATTGGGGGGTTTTGAAAAACCTTATGTATTTATACCATAAGCATTGAATTATTAGGTAGTGAAAATAAAAATAGTAAAAAATTTGTGTAAGTCACGACTCCTTCTATTAATAAGTCTTATGGAGACATAAGACAAACCAAGGACAACAGTGTCGTAGTGCTTTGAACGAAGACTACACACTGCAATGAAATCATAGGGGTGAAATTTAACTCAATTCAGACTCTGGGCATGAGGGCAGCTGATGTCATTCAAAGCTTCTTGGAGGACAGTATTCATGAACTGTGTTTTAAGAAAACACTAGGTGTTGCATAGGTAAAGGGCAGGGAAGACAGGTTTCTCAACAAGAAGAGCATGTTTAAAGGCTTACAAGCTGTACAAAATATGTGGGAAACCCAATTTATTTCCCTATGACTTTAAAAAGTGGGTTTTACGGCAGAAACTCAGGAGATGGACCCTGAACACTAAAATAAGGACTTATATTCTACTACCTTCCAGCGATGCGACTATAGGCTTCTTTGTTATTGGGTAGTGAGAGTTGGAAAAGAAGTATGGACGTTGAAATATTGGCTGTGTTACTTAAAGGATATGTAAATGTGGTCAAGACAACCTGTCTCCATGTGAGCTTCAATTTTTTCATCTGTAATGTGGAACTAATAGGTATATTTCATTGCTATTCATTAATCCATTCATTTGTCAAATACATGTTAAATGCTACTATGTGTCTAGATTTATTGCCAATTTGGATCCATAGTAATAAACAAAAGACAAATTCCTATTCCCATGTAACATATTTTTGGGTTCAAAAAAAGGTCAGAAAAAAAACCAAGTTGTGAATAATGCTAATCAATAGAAAAAAATCTGGATGAAAGAGAGAAGATACCATTGTATAATAAAGTCACATTTTAAGAGTAACCAAAGGAAAGGAGTAAGGAGGAAATATGTATATCTATGGAAAGTGCATTACAAGAAGGAGAAAAAAAAAAGCAAGGCATGAGAATTCTTGGTAGTTTCAAAACAAGGAAACAAGTGTAGCTAGAGTGGAAGAACAAAAGAGAGTGCAATAGAAGATAAAGTCAAGAAAATGGCAGGAAACTTTTTTCTGTAATGTCTTGTAGGCCTAGGTAAGAATTTGAGATTTTATTCCATGTAAGATGGAAAGCTATTAACAGATTGTTTTAGAAGTATCACTAGTGTTATGTATAGAATAGATTATTTAGACAAAGGTGGAATGAAGAAGATCAATCAAAAGCCTGTTGTAAAAGACCACTCTAAGTAATTATGATGATTTGAAATCAGAGAAAGAAAAGGATTTAAAAAAAAAAGTTTGCTTTGGGGCATTCTCCAAAGGTACTGCTGAGAGAGTGTGGTTGTTCTAAATATAGAATATGACTGAAAGAGAGGAAAAGACAAACTCAAAATTATTCAAAGGTTTTTGAATTTAGCAACTTGTAAATCTTGTGAGGCCTCCCCAGCCACATGGGGGTACATAGTAAATATGATACACAGAGATGGAGAAAAAATAGGAGAAGTAGTTATATAAACAAGAGTTCAGGCTGGGTGTGGTGGCTCATGCCTATAATCCCAGGACTTGGGAGGCCAATGTGGTTGGATCACCTGAGGTCAGGAGTTTGAGACCAGCCTGGCCAATATGGTGAAACCCCATCTCTACTAAAAATATAAAAAATTAGCTGGGTGTGGTGGTGGGTGCTTGTAATCCCAGCTACTAGGGAGGCTGAGGCAGGAGAATTGCTAGAACCCAAGAGGCAGAGGTTGCAGTGAGCCAAGATTGCGCCATTGCACTCCAGCCTGGGCAACAAAAGTGAAACTCCGTCTCAAAAAAAAATAATAATAATAATAAAATAAAATAAAATAAAGAGCTCAGTATCAGTAGACACCCAAATGGAGATGTCAGTTAGGCTACTGGATAAACATTCTTGAGTTCTGGGGCAAGTTAAGATGTTGAGTAATAAATTCAAGTTTCATAATTGTTATTGACAGTATTTAAGCTATCAGTTTTAATTGTCATTGGGTCAGATCACCCAATGACTACCTGTACCAAAAGTAAAATGTCCAAGAACAAAGTCCAGAGAAAATTTGGCAAATGAAGCTAAGAAGACTTTGCCAGTGAGAAAAGAGGGAAACCAAGAGATATTGTTGTCTCAAATGCCAAGTAAAGAAAATGTGAAGAGATAAACTACATTAAATGCTTTGGAAGTATCCATTAATTCAAGGAAAGAAGCATGACCATGAAACCTGTCAACACAGATATTATAAATTATACAAAATAAAATATGATTAATATAGAAAGTTTAGTATTTTAATACAATATACCTGGACCAGATAGTAACTCATTTTGAGTAGTTATTTATGCCCTTTTCTTCCTTATTGATATTTTGTTTGCCGTAGATAATAAATTTTATGCTCTTCCATTTTGAAGGGCATTTCTTTTGGCAAAGAAGAAAGAATAAATGGAAATTAGAAGTTTGATTTTCTCTATCAGCCATCAACCTTGGCTATTTGTTTCAAGTGATAGAGTTATCCCTATCTTGATAGTATTGCTCTGAAAGTCACTGTACTGAAATTAGTTTTACAGATGCAGACACCCATTTGAGAGAAAAGACCAGGTAGGTGATGTTGCTACAATATTTCTGGTTAGGAAAATAGAGTTCTTAGAAAAGTCAGGCTTAGGAATCAGCTTTTCCTCTTCAAATATTTGTTACTCTATTCAGGCAATTTTGAATTAAATTTGGGGGTTCCGTATTTGTCCATTTTCATGCCGTTGATAAAGACATACCTAAGACTGAGCAATTTACCAAAGAAAGATGTTTAATGGACTTAAGAGTTTCACGTGGCTGGGAGGCTTCACAATCATGGTGGAAGGCAAGGAGGAGCCAGTCATGTCTTACATGGATGGCAGCAGGCAAAGAGAGAGAGCTTAATAATAAGCAGGGGAACTCCTCTTTATAAAACCATCAGATCTCATGAGACCTATTCACTATCACAAAAACAGCATGAGAAAGACCCACCCCCATGATTCCATTATCTCCCATCGAGTCCCTCCCACAACACGTAGAAATTAAAGATGAGATTTGGGTGGGGACACAGCCAAATCATATCAGGTCTCTTATTAAATTGTCTCACAGCATTCTTCAACTTTCTGAAAACAAAAGTTTGCTCTCTGTCTTCCTTCCTTTCAGTTTATATTTTTATTTTTATTGCTTCAAGTTCATATTCCCTTCACTATTTTCACCCTTTAATGTCTACCTTGCAGGCTGGAAACTAGAAATTGTATTTACCTATATTTTTCACTTTTAATTTTATTAAGATATTCATAGATTTTTACTTAATTTTATTGACACAAATTTAACTTATTTGTTCCCAAGGTAGCTTTTGTCTGAGGAACCTTCTCCTTCCTATGAACTCCAGGAACGCCATTTAAGGGGGCTTGTTTGGCAGTCTTTGAAGAGGGGGAGGGGGACTTGAAGATGCTATTTGAATGGTAGTACCTATTATTAAACATGTGATTAGATTATTCTAGAAACTCAGAGAGCTTTAAAAATCAAACTCTAAGGCCAGGCACTGTGGCTCATGCCTGTAATCCCAGCACTTTGGGAGGCTGAGGCGGGTGGATCACGAGGTCAGGAGATCGAGACCATCCTGGCTAACATGGTGAAACCCCGTCTCTACTAAAAATACAAAAAAATTAGCCAGGCATGGTGGTGGGCGCCTGTAGTCCTGGGAGGCTGAGGCAGGAGAATGGCATGAACCTGGGAGGCAGAGCTTGCAGTGAGGTGAGATCTCGCCCCTGCACTCCAGCCTGGTTGACAGAGCAAGATTCTGTATAAAAAAAATAATAATAATAAATAAATATCAAACTCTATAATATACTTTTAATATTTTGAACCTAAGCCTATTTATCACTTGTCGTTTAATTTTTCAATTCAAGTAGTATTTTCACATAAGTTCTTGTATTTACACAATAGTTTATCTTCCATGAAGAATTCTAGATACTGAAACAAAACATTTAAAAATATCGGGGAATGATGGCCAAGTACATCAAATTCTGGCACTCTATTTATTTAGAAGGAAATGAATAGAAACTCACATGATAAAGAAGAAATATAAACAAGCAAAGAATCACAAAAGTAAAGGACACTTCAAAGTACAACACTGAAAGCAATTCTATACATTAAAAAAATACTTTCAAAAACACTTCCAACAAAAAAGAGAAAACAAAGGGAATGCAGAGAACCCGTCAGCAAATACCAATGGTAATGATATATTACATGGCTACTCTACTTGACTGCAGAGGAGTTTTTCCATATCTCTTTTAAACTAGCTCAGACAATACCCAAAGCTTCCATCTCTCACCACAGGTTTCTTTCCTTGTTGCTAACTTGGAGAAAGGGCAAGGTGATAGTGTAACAGTAGGTTGTTTCTAGCTTAATTGCATCAGGGTAGAAAATACCTCATGAAGTTGAAGCATTGTTCTTTGTATTTTAATAGACTGCAACTGTTTCTTGATTTTTAATAGTTAATTTTTTTTTCTGAGTTGGTGAACAAAATGAATTATGTTTCCTTAGAATTGCTTAATAAAAATTCAGTGTCATATTTGCATTTTAAATACTATAAAATATTTGAGAGCTGTTCAAAAACAAATTTCTAGGATGTATTATTTTAGCTCTAGTGGAGTAGAAGCTTGTTATCTCACAGATGCCTCTGATACAGTCTGAGCTATATTAAAAAACAAACTCCATGCCCACAAACTATGAGCTTTTACATGTAGTAAAATCAAATTTTATAAAGCACTTTCTCGCTACTTGTTATAGACTCAAAGCAGTGATTTCTGATTATTTTATTATACCTTAATGTTTACAACTGCAAAAATATACAAACAATTCTCTGTAGAACAGGTTGTATTTACTTGGTGGCTAATAAAAGCGTTGCTGGAAAACAAATTTGAGGACAGAGAAAATATATTCAATTTTATGTGGTTTCTAAGGGCATAAACTCCACAAAATTGAATACTAACAAGAAATATTAATATACAATAAAAATAATAAAATCTATGCTTCTCAGGTACTTATGTGGAGTAACAAATTGAATGAGAAAAAGAATTGATTTTTCTTCCTGAAGAACTAAGACAAGAAAAATGAGCTGAAATGAATTTGTTATTTCTAGTGCTTATATTAATTTTCTGTTTAAATAATAGGAAAGAAGCATTTCACAGTAAGAAAAGCGAATAATGATCTCTGCAGGGAAAAAAGAGAGTAAACACTGAAGCTAAAATGAATGTACAACTTTGTCAAAAATCAATACATTTATGTGGCTATACAATTCACTGTTGTTTGTTTAAAGAATGTCAGAATACTTTTGGTGCAGTCCATAATAAGTATTCCAATAGCATTTATCAGATGATCAAAAGTAGAGGGGAAAGAATATAGAAATGACAGTTAAGAAAATCATCACTGAGTCTGTCAAATTGAAGCTATTGAAAATGATAAGTGCAAAATAAAGTCTGTGTGTTTTTCATACTTTTCATATTATCATCCATGCATGTATAATGAAAATCTCCAAGATTCAAAATGTTATTCCAATTGCTGTAGGATCTTTATGTAATATCAATGTACTTAAAGAATTGCACTTATAATAATGTAGTATATGAATGATGAGATAATGTTAGTGGCTTATAAATTTTGAGTGAGCTTCTAGGGATGAAACATAGTAGACTTAAACAGATAAACAGACGCTTGCTTTTGTGGGAAAAACATTCTAGAAAATGTTATGTTAGCTCACTTTTCCCCTTTAGTTGGAGTAGGTATCTAGAAGTATGTATTGCTGTTGCACACTATGTTAAACCATTTTAAAACAACACATTTAATACATAACATGTGGTTTATTAAAAATTAAGCAAAACAAAACATTAAGCAAACATGCAAAAATTATTAAAAATGTAGGAAGTTAAAGTGATTTACACTAATGAAAAGTGATTTACAAACATGATCAGAATTCATATTGAACTGAAAGTAGATTATGTACAAACACACACATATACACATATGGTCATGTGCCACTAAATGATGGGGATATGTTCAAAGAAATATGTTTTTAGGCAATTTCATCCACTTGTGAACATCATAGAGTGGACTTATGCAAACCTATTGTGTATAGCCTACTGCACACCTAGACATATGATATAACCTACTCCTCCTAGGGTACAAACCTGTACAGTATGTTACTATACTGAATACTGTGGGCAATTTTAATATAAAGGTAAGTATTTGTGTATCTAAACATAAAAATGGTAAACATATGTATTATAGTCTTATGTGACCACCATCACCTATGAGGTCTGTCATTGACCAAAACATTGTTATGCAGCACGTAACTGTGCATGCACATAAAAATGGCCCATGATTTAAGATGGTTTGAGTTAAAATTTTTCAATTTTTTGACAGTGCAAAAGCAATGCATATTTAGCATAAACCATACTTTGAATACACATATGACTCTTCCGTTTTTCATTTTTATTATAGTATTCAATAAATTACATGAGATGTTGAATATTTTATTATAAAAAAGGCTTTATGCTGGATGATTTTGCCCAACTGTAGGGTGATGTAATTGTTCTGAGCACCTTTAAGGTAGGCTAGCCTAAGCTGTGAGGTTTGATAGGTTAGGTGTATTAAATGAATTTTCAACTTATGATATTTCAAATTTATGATGGGTTTACTGGACATAATCCCATTATATGTCAAGGTATATCTGTACAAACTGTATACATGTGATAGGGTTGAAATATAATATTACCATAACATAACTGAATATATTTTTATTCCTTCAAGAACATTTTCTTGTGTGCATTTCATCATTTCACTTTGACTACATTTCTATGGGGTAGACCCTTAAGTTTTAAATTATTTTATTTAGAGATCAAGAAAAATAATGTATAGAAAGATTAAAGGTTTTATAGCACATTTTAATGAAAATATCAATTTCAGAACTCAAACACATTTGTAAATAAAGCATTCATCTCTATATGAGAAAGAACACCCTCAAAAACATAGGCCAGTACTAATCAATCTTGTCCTCAAAAAGTGTTTTATGCTTAAGCCCAGCAGAATCTCCAATAGTTCTCCAATTTAACCTAACTGATGTTTGCAGCAGCCACTGACACACACCAGCTGCAGTGAGGGCTGTGTGCTCCAGAGCTGGCCTGGGCCAGGAACAAGCAGGAGCCCTGCCCCCTACTGAGTTAAAAGGGTGGGAATCCCACACTCCCAGGGACATCTGCAGCAGCCCAGCCCAGACTCTGGACCAGGACGAGGGAATCCATGCACTCTTGGGGGCCCAGGAAGACCCCCTGTCCCCGTAGGCTCGTAAGTGCCTGCTCTAGCTCCCTGGCCTCTCCCTGCTCCTGGTGCCAACTATGATTTTGGAGCAAAGTTGTGGCTAAGCCTGGGTGCTGTCACAACCCTGCCAGGTGTGCCTGTGCTTGGGGCAGTGCTGGCATGCCAGCCTCCTTCTGTTTCAGCCCCCTCTGAATTTTGGGCACCGATGAGGATCGAAGGGAGGCTGAGAGTGGCTCAGCACAGGCCTGCAGGTGCCCCTCCGCACAAACAGCTTGGGCACCATGGATGACCTATTGATGGAAGCAGGAGGCAGACAGGCTCCTGGACAAAAAGGGGCGGGTCCCAGGTGAAGCTCACCTTCAAGCCAGGGGGCCAGATTTTTAGTTCTGGGTAGAGTCTGGGGCCTGGAGTGAGAACTTATGGTGGTTTTTCCAGGTCCACCCATGGCCACCCATGGACAAATCAGCATGTACTTCCTCCTTTCTGAGCCCATAAAAACCCCAGACTCAGCTGGACTCACACAGACCTGGGGGCCACCTGCCTGTGGAAAGAAGCTACCCACTGTGGGTCCCCTCTCCACTAAGAGCTGAACACTTATATGGACAACCTGCATGCAGAAAGGAGCTACTCATTTTCATTCTCCTGAGAACTGTTCTGCCGCTCAATGAAGCTCTTCTCCACTTTGCTCACCCTCCAGTTTTCTGCATTCCTCATTCCTCCTGGACATAGGACAAGAACTCAGGACCTGCCAAATGGCAACACTGAAAGAGCTGTTACACAAACAGATCTGAAACACACCTCCTACTTGCCATGTTGCCAGTGATGAGGAGAAAAGAGCTGAGGCCCTTTGGGAAGCCCAAATATAGGGGCTCCCTGAGCCAGGGTTGTGACACCCTCTTTGGGGCTCTATGGTCCATGGTGTCTCCCAACTTCTGGAAGCCATTGCATTCTCCTCATCCAGACACAATTGCCCACATCGGAAGCTGCATACAATACATCTGGTCCAGCTGCAACCTCAAAAAGAGCCAAAACTTGTGCTGGTACCTGGAGCTGCCCACTCTGCTGCAGCAACTAGTGTGCCTAGCTCTGATCAGTGGCCGGACCCAACAGTCACTCATCCACACACCCCTCACTGCTCCACACCTGGATTGCCCTTGGCAGGTGTGGTATCTGTGCTGGAAGCAAGAGCTGAGTGCAGCCTGCTAGGCAGAGTAGGCAGAATGAGCCCAGCAGGTATGAGCAATACTCAGACCGAAGGTGCATACACATACAAATGTGCATAAGCTCACTACTATCACGAGCACAAAATCCTAATGTTAAAAAGCAAAGAAAGCAGAAGTCAAGCTACATAAATAAAAAGAAAACAATAACACAAAAAAATTATGTAGAGCTTAAGTGAAATATTGTGGCTAAACCTTGGAGTTCTTGCTGGATAGGGCAAGAGATAATTCCAAAAATTTAAGGGTGAGGGCACTATCAAACAAGTCTTATCCAATACTATTAACTTTGTATTTAAATAAGAGTGTAATTTTAAAGGTTAAAGAAACGTGAAAATAAGCGCTAATCTCCAATTAAAGTTCTTAATAACAATTTAATTGAATTCTGTTAATTTTCTCCTCCAAGATTAAATAGAACTAGCGCAAAAAAAAGTTGAAAATTTATCTTTAAATCTATGAAAATACTGTTAGATAGAATAAGATATTGAAATCTACGAGTGAATAACTTACGGGAAGCTAAATAACAACAAATCCTAATATAGCATTTACCACATGCCCAGCATGATTTTGCATATGTTAATACAATCGTTACTCACAAGTACCCTATAATATTGATTTTATTACTATCCTAAAGTTATAAATTAGAAAGTTGATAAATGGAAGATAAAATAAATTGTCCAATGTCATAAAAGTATAAAGTGGCAAAGCTGAGACTTGAACTCAAATAGTGGGGTTATGTCTGGTCTCTGAATCTCCATACCACCCTTGCCCTTAGAGTTAATTCAGCAGCTGTTCTAGCAGTACACACCAAAAGTAATAAGGACCTCATCTAAACAGATGGACAGCTGAAATCTATGAAGATTAGTACCTGATTTAGAGACTGATGCAGAGAGACACGTTTCTAGTGATTTTGAAGTTTAGGGCCTAGGTGACTTGTTGGATGACTGTGCTGTTTAGTGAGACTGAAAGCAAAGCTCAAAGAAACAGATTGGAAAAATACACTTAGTGCAGTTGTTAAAACGTGGAGTTAAAGGCACATGTGAATAATCCAAAGAGATGTTTCCAAAAGGCAAATAAAGGGTTTAAAGATTTACAGAGAGGTCTAGATTTTTCCTTAAAGTAGATAATTGGGGCTCAATAGTATACAGTTAGAAGTTGAATCAATGGTTAGAACAAAGTTACTTCTCAAGTGAGAAAAATATAGGAAATGTAAAGTATAGGAAAACATATAGGAAATGAAACGTTATTGAAGCCAAAAGGACAGGAGGAAACAGAAGAGATTAATGTCACTGAAGCAACTTAATGAGATCATTTCAAAAATAATGGAGATATCTGCTAATCAAGTGCTATAGTAAGTCCATGTAACATTTCAAATTAAATACTCACTGTATTTTTTATGTTGTTGATCATTTAATGTCAATTATTTCAACAGAATATCCTGACTTGATGTCAGAGTCCAAGAAATGATGATACTTGAGTGTAGATCATTCTTTCAAGGCTCTTAAACCGTAAATTGCCTTGAGGGCTAGGCAGAGAGAAGCATCTAATTCAGGAAAGGTTGTCTCTGTGTTATGAGGCAGCAGAAGTGTTTGCAAGTCCAAAGAAGAGAACAAATGGAAACGTAATATGTTGAAAAGTCTAAAGGAAAACTCGGGTGAGCCTGGGGAGATGGACTAATAGGAAGAAAAAGATACTGAATGCGGGAGGAAGAAGAATCACAGAACTGAGTAAGCTATAAAAGTTAATGAAGGTCCACTCACAAGGAAGTAAGAGGAAGTTGAGTACTTTTTCACCAGCTAGCTTCACTTATCTCAGTGAAGAGGCAGGTACTATTATTTGCTGATAGTGAGGGGCTAGTGGGAGGGCAGAGGCTTTGGTCAAAGAACAATAGTACCATTTAACACTTATTACATACTCCATGCCAGACGATCTGCTAAATTATTTGCATATATTATCACTTTAATCTTCACGACCATTTTAAGTAGTTGCTATTACTACCTCTATTTTACAAATGATGAAATTGAGCAAAAGAAAGGTAAATAATTTGCCCAAAGTTACACAGTTTATAAATGATAGTGGTGTGAATTTGACTTCATGCCTTTATCCATATATTATACTGTCTCTTGAATACTAAAAATCTTTAACGATTTAAATGGTGTTATGTTCTGAATATGTCCCAAAATTAATGTGTTGGGAACTTTATCTCAAATGCGACAGTGTTAAGATATGTATATGGCTTTTGGGAGGTGTTTAGGTCATGAAGGCTCCATCCTCATGAATAATTAATCCTTTCATAAAAAGGACTTTCAGGAGTGAATTAACTCTCTTCTGCTATTCTGCCTTTTGAAAACAGAGTTTGTTCCTTTTTGCCCTTCTGCCTTCTGTCACGTGAGGAAGCAGCAAAAAGGCCCTCACCTAATGCCATATGCCATCACCTTGATCTTGGACTTCACAGCCTTCATAAATGTGAGAAATAAATTCCTGTTCTTTATAAATTACTCAGTTTCAGGTTTTCTGTTATAGCAGCACAAAATGGACTAGGATAAATGGACAAAAAGATCTATTTAAGGAAAACCAAAGTTATATTCTAACAGCATCAATACATAAACTGAGGTTGGAAACACTTATAGTGGCATCAATATGCAAATATGGCATAATATTTTCCAGAATGGTTCACTAGCAGAGTGAACCATGCTCAAAGAATTACCTATGTATATATAGCTAATTCTTATATATAAACATGTATGTATATTTTGCTCTTCTTCTGCCACTTCATATATTTTACATTATTTCTTCATGCCTTACAGAATCACACTTCATTAAAAAGTCTCTTGTCGTCCTCTTTTCTCTGCCTTCATGTTAGGAGTTAAGCATTTTCCTCAGTATGCTACATCATAGATATAGATCTACTGGCATACTTAGCTGTGCTCTTATCATTGGCCAACTGGGCTGTCTTCCTCTGTATCATGAGACTACCTGGAGAGCAGAAGCTGTACCTTTTATCTATGATTCCCAGGGCACAGATAACCCAGGTACATAAAGGCAGTCATCACAAGTCGGCTGAATGCATTAAGTGGAATTTCCTTTTTACATATACTGAAGTGACAATACTAGTGTATCAATAGAATATTGGCTAAAATATTTTGTCTTCATATTGTGAGATATATATGTATATGCATACATACACATACACATATATATTCATTTTTGTATGTATTTTCTATTTTTTACTTTATATATACATACTTTATTTTTAGAGCACTGCATGCAATACAAAGCTGAGTAGAAGGTACAAGTTTTTCCACATATCCCCTGCTTCTGTGTACGTATAGCCTCCCCTATTATCAACATCCCCCACCAGAGTGATACATTCACTATAATTGGTGAAACTATGTTGATACCTTATTATTACCTAAAGTCCATAGTTTATATTTGGACTCACTCTCAGTGTTGTCCATTCTGTGGGTTTGAACAAATGTATAATGACATGTATCCACCATTATGATATTATACAGAGTAGTTCCACTGCCCTAAAAATCTTCTGCCCTCCTCCTATTCAATCCTGCCTCCCCCATCTTCTGAAACTTTTTAGTGTTTCCATAGTTTTGCCTTTTCCAGAATGTCATATGGTTGTATGCATGATTTTCAGATTGACCTTTTCCACTCACTAATATGCATTAAAGTGTCTTGCATGGCTTTTCATGGCTTGATAGGCCACTTCTTTATAACACTGAATAATATCCTATTGGCTGGATATACCAATGTTTATTAATCCATTCACATACTGAAGGGCATTTTCATAGCTTCCAGGTTTTGGTAATTATTAATAAAGCTGCTATAAACATACCTATGCTGGTTCTTGTGTAGTCATAAATTTTCAGCTCCTTTGAGTAAATACCAGAAAGCATGATTGCTGAATCTCATGGCAAACGTATATCTAGTTTTGTAAGCATCTGCCAAACTGTCTCCCAAAGTAGCTGTGCTATTTTGTATTCCCATCAGCAATGAATGAGAATTCTTCTTCTTCCACGTCCTTGCCAGCATTAGAGTTCTGGATTTGGGGCATCCTAATAGGTGCCTCAAGTGAAGCCCCAAAGACTCTTCACATCAAGTGAAGCACCTTTTCATTTGGTTGGTTTTCATCTGTATATCTTTTTTGGTGAGGTATTTTTTAAGGTCTTTGGCCCATTTTTAAGAAATTGGTTTTTGTTTTGTTTTGTTTTATATTGTTGAGCTTTAAGGGTTCTTTGTATATTTTAAAAACTGTCCTTTATCTAATATGTCTTTGGCAAGTAGTTTATCCCAGTCTGTGGCTTGTCTTTTCATTCCCTTCTCTGTTGCAGAGCAGAAACTTTATTTTAATGAAGTCTCATTTATCAATTTTTTCAGAGATCATTCCTTTGGTGTTATAGATACAGACATTGCCAAACCCAAAGTCACTTTGATTTTCTCCTTTTTTCTTCTAGGAGATTTCAAGTTTTGCCTTTTACAAGTAGACCTGTCATTCATTATCTATCAATTTTGGGGGAGGGTATAAGGTTTGTTTATATACTTTTCTTTAGATGCGGCTATCCAGTTGTTCTAGCACTGTTTGTTGAAAACACTTTTTCCCTCTTTGCTCTTTTTTCAAAGGTAAGTTGATTACGTGTGTGTTTGTGTGTGTGTGTGTGTGTGTGTATGTGTTTGGTTGTAGGATCTCTATTCTATTCCATTGACCTAGTTCCTATATGTTTTCTTTTTGTCACAACTGTGACTAGTGATACTCACCTATTTTGGGGAATGGAGTGAGAAAAAATATTATATACAAAACACATCAAAATATTCTGTGGCATGGTCTTCATTGTACTCTAAATATTATGTAAGAAATGAAAAAATTATATATACTTAATACAATATGGTGATCAAACAGGAATATTATGAAAAAATATAAAGAATGATAAAATGATGAATTATTTTTAGATTTGTTTTTAAATTTTTACTATTTACATGATTTTATAGGTATAATCCAACTACACAATACAAACAAATATCCTTGATTTCTTATGTATGGAAATCAGTGGGCTACACGGTGAGGTTGGATGAATTTAGCAAAACATAGAGCTAGCTATTTTACATGCTACCATCTGAAAAGGAAATATGTCAAGTTATTCTCCAAGCATAAGTTGAAGCCTAAGCCTTTTTTTAATGCCTTAATCTCATGCCTTCTTTGATGCATAGTTTATAAGGCAAGCAATCTGGCAAACTTTAACTGTATTAAGAGTTTTCAAGAAAGATAAAATTTACACTGAGTAAAACTATACATTGCAAAGCCCAGAACTATATCATGAGTTATTTATGTTGAAGTTTCGATCATGTCTTCCATATGCATAACACATGCATATCCTCTTAAAGCGTTCCTCTGGTTAAAGAATGTTCTTCCATGTTTTTCAGTCACACAGACCTTTATTCACTATACCTAGAGTGCTGGAAAATGAATATACCTTTCTTTATGCTTTTCTGAGGTAAAACAGATAACATTATCACCAGGTTTTCATTTAGAAAATATTCAAACATATCAGCTCTATCAAATCTATCAAAAAGTTATAAAAATACTATCCTCATGTACCGATCACTATATTATCAAATTTTTGTTGCATATGTTTTATTGCTCCATACCTCTCTCTACGTGTGTGTACCTGAGTGTCCTCTTCCCTACTCAAATATTTGTTATTTTCTGAAACACTTGGTAGTGTGTTGACACCATCATAACACTTCACCTAAAAATATTTTGGTATCAGTTCCTTAAGAACAAAGACATTCTGTAATGTATTATCAATACTATTTTCACCACCAATAAAATTAATAATAATTCCATAACATCATTTAAGTTCATACTCACATTTTTCTAACTGCCACAAAATATTTTATTATGTTGTTATTTTTTAATCTAGGAACCAGCAAGTTCACAAAGTGTCGATTTTTTGTTGTATCTGTTTGGACGCCTTTAAAAGCCTGAAGCCTCATTTACATCCTTCAAACTTTCCTTTCTTGTTTTGTCCCTGGTTGACTTTGCTGAATCAATCATGACAGTGCTTCATAGAAAATCTCACAATATGGCTTTGTTTGACTGCTTTCTCATGGTTGTTTTCTAGCTTTCTAGCTTGTTTGTATATCCTTTATATTGCCAGTAAATGGTTCTTCAGATTTAAAAACTTAACATTTTTGGCAACTCTGTGGATAACTTGCCTCAAACAAGTGTCATAACATGTTGGGTTGTCCCCTCTTAGTTATAGTAAGTTTAGTAACTTACTAAAGGGGTGATTACCATATGACTCCATTAGAAACGTATATAGTTTTTCCTTAGTAATTAGCCTCCTCAAGCATTTTCTCTTGATGTCTGTCAAAAATGTTTATCATGAGTTTAATTAGTTGCAAAAAAAATGTATTAGGGTGTTTTAAAGATTGTTGATATGTTTTACGAGATCAGAGGAGATCGGGCACATTCAGGATGGTATGGCGTAGACGATTGTTGATATGTTTTAAATACATTTTCTCAAAACCTTGAACCAAACAAAATAGCTTATTTAGTATATGGAAAATATTTCTCACTTAACTGAATTAGCAAATGACCCAGCTAAATTAAATTGAACTTTAATTTTTAAAGTTTTGACAATTTCTTAATTCAAAGAAACCTAGTAGTTTATATTTTCATGATAACCATAACACTTCTGAATTGTAAGACCTAGATAGAAAGATAGAGAGTGAGAAAGGGGGAAGAGAGAGAGATTGAGGAAAAAACTCAGGGGACTTGCCATGAGTGTTTTTCACCAGGATAAAATCGAGTGCTGTTATTTTTTTCTTACAGAAGTCCCCCTTGCTCTGCTTTGCTTTGCTTTCTAGAAGTTTCTCCTCAACGTAAGTTTTTTCTAGAATTGTCTTTTTAGTTAGTATTCAGGAGGTTATTCCCCCAATGCCCCATTGCAAGATTCTGGTTAGGGGTGAGGAGAAAAGATTTCTCTCTCTCTCTCTCTCTCTCTCTCTCTCTCTCTCTCTCGCTCTGGCTCTGTCTCTTTTTCTTTCTTTATTTCTCTTTCAGTTTAGGAGGGAACAATTATGAACGGAAGTTGGAGAGAAGAACTCGCACAGCACAAATGCATTGTTATACAGATCAAATTTAGGAAGGGGTACTCAAGAAAGTTGAGGAGCTGCAATTTGATTCCCTTAAAGATAGTACAACATTTTTAGTACCAGAAGAGTCTTCCTGTGCCTCTAAGGATATGCAGACACCAGTGTGAAAAATTCTAGTCTGAAGGACAATCCCAGGAATAATAATAGCTAACCCTTTATAAGCTCCTAATATGTGCTAGACACTTTAGATATTTTTTATAAGCCTCACAATAGTCTCATGAAGGAGATACTATATTTCGAATGCATAAGTTTAGGTTTACATTCACATGAATTTTATGTGATCCTACAGAAATATAACCAGGTCAGAGGACTCCAAACCCTTCATTATCTCCACTATTTGAAGCTGCCACTCATTTAAATTATAGTTAAGGTCTTTGGACTAATTTTCCTAAATTTGGTCCAGAATTGTATACAGTGGTAAATAAATGTTTTCAATGTATGTTTTAAATATAATCTACAAGTATAATGTGCTGAAGAGGATCAAGGTGTCTACTTAACCAAAACATAGGCTGTAATTCTCAGTGGTGATCTCATTTAGTTGACTTTGAGGTGGAATTATTTTATGCATCAATATAGATTCTCTGATATTTTACTTATTTATTATCTTAAAAAATTCTGGCATTTGTCATGTAATGGGAGTTAGTCTTGTTTTGTTTTTTATGCACTTTTCCTAGTGTACAGAACATCTAGACAAGAACATGCATGAAATATCTAACTTGTAGGCTCTAGGGTAATTGATTATGTTTTTGAGAAAGTTGTTTCCCCCAAAGTATTTGTATTAAACTCCTATACATGTATAAGCTAAGAAAAAGTAAATTAGGAGATGCTATCTGAATTCAGAACATAGTCACAATTTGTAAATATGTGGCTTTCACAAACTATTTTTACTATATATATTATATATAGTATACATATGATATACATGTATTAAAATATGCATGTTTTAAAAATATGTACAGGCATATATATTTTTATACTTGTTCAATTTTAAAAGCAATTCTGAGTGAATAAATTGCCCTACATACGTAAACCACCTCTGATCATCTTTATGCCTACCATTGACTGCTCAGCTGTTAAAATAACAGAGACAAAACATTCTCAGTGGAAGCGCTAGAGCTAATAAAGCAGCAATCCCCAAAGCATTGACTCAGGTGAAACATTTTGAAGGTTCAGGAAAGGCAGCAAAAGCCTTGTCTCCTCACATTGACCTTCCATTTGTGGTAATCCAATATGCCCTGCTCACTGCAGGGACATCCTGAAGTTAAAGGCAAAGAGGATATCCCTCTGGCTGCTCCATTTTTTAGTGTGTTAAAAGAGCTTCTTTGTCTGACCATAACAAGATCAGCAATAAATAAATAATCTAGGTAAATGGACATTTGATAGCACCAAAGAGGGCTCCACACAGAAATTTAAAACAATCACAAATCACTATTGCTTCATCATGTTATAAAAGGTATATTTATAACTGATTTTTTTAAAAAAGGCCCTGGATGATATAAAATTAATACTACTGTACCCATTGTTTTTAGACATTATTAGTTCAACTCTAAAAACAGTACTACATATAGTTAACTTAGAAAAGATAACACAATTTTTAGCAATTTAGTTTTAAGAACTCAGAAATACAGTGTGATTTTACAAGGTTCTAATTTGTATTTATACATTTATTTATGTATTACATAAGAAATAACACTGGATTGAGTGTAATGTATTTGGATTCTTATCCTAAAGCTGTCACTAGTTTACTCTGCTACTGAATAAATTACTTAACCCATTTGGGTCCGTTCCCTCATGAGTAAAAATAAGACAACATATATTTATAAGGCTACTAATAAAGGCCCAGAGTTTTGCAATGGCTAGAAATTCAAAGGTGATTGAGAAAGAGTTGCTGTCAATTTAAGAACTTAGGGTGTGTGTGTGTGTGTGTGTGTGTGTGTGTGTGTGTGTGTAAGAGGGAGAGAGAGAGAGACAGAGAGAGATAATGCAAATGATAAAGAGGCAGAATCTGAACTGTATGTTAATGGATAAAATATAGTGAAAAGGGAAAACAAAGTATATATTAAAAAAAGACAAATAGAGGACTAAAAGTTGTTAGAAGATTATGCAGTTGGGCTATTTTTCTATGTTTTATCAATGTTATAAAATGTGTATGTTCCTTCAATTTTATGCTGAAAAGTGTTCTAAATAAAAATAGTTATTGACTTTATGCCCTGAATTGTGAGCTTCAGGTGCATCACAATGGGAAACAACAAATTTTGAGTTTAGAGTGTAGTAAAGATATATTCTTAAATACAAAAACAAATATGAAATACTAAATGGAGAATGAGAATAGAATGATTTAGGATTTTTAAAAATATTAAAATAAAACTATTACTGTATTTGTGGCTGTTTTTAAAAGTATAACATTTTAAAAGTAGATAAATAGAATTAATTCTCCTTTACAAACATTATATTCCTGAGCACTGATCTGGAAAAAGATAGACAAAGTAAGAAGCCACGGAGATATAATGACCACTTTGGTGCCAATAAAATGTATCACTAAAGAGAACCATAGGAGCGTAAATCCCTTTAGAGCCAGTTGAAAGTGAATGTTGTTTTTTTCCCTTCATCCATGAGTCCCAACACAGCTTACCTTTCTTCCAGGTAGAACTATGCAGTCACAAAACCAAGGCAAGATATGAATACAAATATAAGTTCTATATTGTGGTAGTGTGATGTGATTGCATTTCATACAGCAAAGGGGGAGAAAACTATAACAAAAGTTGATATTGCTTTTCTACCATGACAATTACCACCCTCTCAAATGTCCTTTAATGTCACCTAACAGAGGGCATTTTTGAAGCGCAAAATGTAAGTTGTTTTTTTTTTTTTATGAACTGAACAAAAACGCTGTTGTTTGTCAGCTTGGAGCATAACCTCTTTATGCAGCTTGCATCCCGTGAGTGAGAAACAAATGTTTATTGTTTTAAGCCTCTGAGATTTGGGGATTTATTAAGTAGCTTTATCACTGAACAAGCTGACTATAGATAACCTGAAATATTTAGAATTGGTTCTGGAGCCACTCCATGCACAGTTAATTTTTAGAGGCTGGAGTTATTGTGGCGATGTTACACAGTGGCAAAGGATTTGGTAAACCTACTGTCTGAGAAAATTTGAGAGGCCAAACATATTTAATGAATTTATACCCATGATTGAAGAAATTCCTAAAAGAAAGTTACTTGAAGTAGTTGTGTTTTATTAATTCCATTGCAGAAGGTAGTACAAGGTGTAGGTAAGGTCAGAAAAATAAATTGCTCTTTGAAGAAGTGAAAGGGGTAGGAAATAATCCAGAAAGTCCTGGATTTGGAGAAATAAGAAATAAAACCATTGCCCTTCTCTACAAGTAAAGGATAAAATTCAGATATGCTTTGAGATGTAATACCTTTGTTAAGAATTATAATTTGATTAATATGGCCCCAGCAAATACTTTTATTTGGACAAAATCACTCAATAAAGGGAGATTACTTTGCGGCCCATGGACAGCCAAAAATATGAAAGCACTTATAATTCAGTATATATATAGACAGAGGTATGTCTTGAAGTTAATTGTTGGTGGGATTATGAGCACATAGAACTGTTTGGATTGAATTTTTAAAAATCTCATGTTGTTGTTTATGTTTTTATAGTGGTAGCCTGGATTAAAAGAGACCCACGGCAATTCAAAATGTGACACATTTTTCAGGCAAAAAGCAGTCTAGGAATTCTGCCTGGTCATAAGGAATGAATATTTCCCAATACTATCATTAAAGGTGGCCAACAAGGATAATGGAAATGCAATGTTGTCTCAGAGAAATCAAGAGATATTAATGAGGGAACAATTTTTCAGGGAGCATTAGTGGGTATAATCAAGGAATATTCATAGGCCGGGCATGGTAGTTTATGCCTGTAATCCCAGCAGTTTGAGAGGCCGAAGCAGGTGAATTGCTTGAGCCCAGGAGACTGAGACCAACCTTCGCAATGTGGCGAAACTTCATCTCTACAGAAAATACAAAAATTAGCCAAGCTTGGTGGCACATACCTGTAGGCTCAACTACTTACAAGATTGAGGTGGGAGGATCGCTTGAACCTGGGAAGTAGTGGCTGCAGTGAGCTGTGATTGCGCCACTGCACTGCATTCCAGCTTGGATGACAGAGTGAAAACTTGTTAAAAAAAAAAAAAAATCACTATTCCTGATTAGGGAACATTTGCATTATCAGAACAAAAGCAAGGATTGCTATGATCAGTAACCGCTATATAATGACTGTTTATTGCAATTATTTTCACTTTTTGTCACCATTCTGTGTTGAGTGTGTGTATGTGTGTTTGTGGTTGGGGGACTGGTAATGCACATCCAAAACAAAGTGGAGACTATTGTGAGATCTTGAACTTGCGGCCTGTGATAGGTTTGGATAAGAATGTTAGGGTGTTTTCACTGGAAATGGCTGAATATATGGGCAGATGAAAGAAATTTGAACAGTGACTTTCTATGGCATTGAAAAGGCTGGTCACTGTAGAATATAGTATTGCTAAGCAAACGTTGATTCTCCACTTTACACTCCAACTTGATGAAGGTGAAGCCTGATATTTGAAATTTCAGATGTTAGCTTCAGCCAGAAAAGAGTGGGGGCCAATATTCAACATTCTTAAAGAA
Organism: Homo sapiens; assembly: GCF_000001405.40. Lineage (NCBI taxonomy): Eukaryota > Metazoa > Chordata > Mammalia > Primates > Hominidae > Homo > Homo sapiens. The sequence goes on from NC_000013.11 coordinate 70,029,465, forward strand.
AAGAATTTTCAACCAAGAATTTCATATCCAGCCAAACTAAGCTTCATCAGTGAAGGAGAAATAAAATACTTTACAGACAAGCAAATGCTGAGAGATTTTGTCACCACCAGGCCTGCCCTAAAAGAGCTCATGAAGGAAGCACTAAACATGGAAAGGAACAACTGGTACCAGCCACTGCAAAAACATGCCAAATCGTAAAGACCATCGATGCTAGGAAGAAATGGCATCAACTAACCAGCAAAATAACCAGCTAACATCATAATGACAGGATCATATTCACACATAACAATATTAACCTTAAATGTAAATGGGCTAAATGCTCCAATTAAAAGACACAGACTGGCAAATTGGATAGTCAAGACCCATCAGTGTGCTGTATTCATGAGACCCATCTCATGTGCAGAGACACACGTAGGCTCAAAATAAAAGGATGGAGGAAGATCCACCAAGCAAATGGAAAACAAAAAAAGGCAGGGGTTGCAATCCTAGTCTCTGATAAAACAGACTTTAAACTAACAAAGATCAAAAGAGAAGTCCATTACATAATGGTAAAGGGATCAATTCAACAAGAAGAGCTAACTATCCTAAATATATATTCACCCAATACAGGATCATACAGATTCATAAAGCAAGTCCTTAGAGACCTACGAAGAGACTTAGACTCCCACACAATAATAATGGGAGACTTTAACACCCCACTGTCAACATTAGACAGATCAACGAGACAGAAAGTTAGCAAGGATGTCCAGGAATTGAACTCAGCTCTGCACCAAGCGGACCTAATAGACATCTACAGAACTCTCCACCCCAGATCAGCAGAATACACATTCTTCTCAGCACACATCACACTTATTCCAAAATTGACCACATAGTTGGAAGTAAAGCACTCCTCAGCAAATGTAAAAGAACAGAAATTATAACAAACTGTCTCTCAGACCACAGTGCAATCAAACTAGAACTCAGGATTAAGAAACTCACTCAAAACCACTCAACTACATGGAAACTGAAAAACCTGCTCCTGAATGACTACAAGGTACATAACGAAATGAAGGCAGAAATAAAGATGTTCTTTGAAACCAATGAGAACAAAGACACAACATACCAGAACCTCTGGGACACATTTAAAGCAGCATGTAGAGGGAAATTTATAGCACTAAATGCCCACAAGAGAAAGCAGGAAAGATCCAAAATTGACACCCTAACATCACAATTAAGAGAACTAGAGAAGCAAGAGCAAACACATTCAAAAGCTAGCAGAAGGCAAGAAATAACTAAGATCAGAGCAGAACTGAAGGAGACAGAGATATAAAAAACCCTTCAAAAAATCAATGAATCCAGGAGCTGGTTATTTGAAAAGTTCAACAAAATTGATAGACTGCTAGCAAGACTAATAAAGAAGAAAAGAGAGAAGAATCAAATAGACACAATAAAAAATGATAAAGGGGATATCACCACCAATCCCACAGAAATAGAAACTGCCATCAGAGAATACTATAAACACTTCTATGCAAATAAACTAGAAAATCTAGAAGAAAGGGATAAATTCCTGGACACATACACCCTCCCAAGACTAAACCAGGAAGAAGTTGAATCCCTGAATAGACCAATAACAGGCTCTGAAATTGAGGCAATAATTAATAGCCTGCCAACCAAAAAAAAACCCAGATGTTAGCTTTATCCAATAAATTGCACTGGCCAATGGAATGAAGGCAGAAATGGGAGTGCTGCAATTCTATGCAGAAGGTTTAAGAAGCATCGCAAGGATCATTCAGCTTTCCTAAGCTCCTATACACATCACCTTGCAAACATCACATCTCACATTGGAGGTGTTCTTTCAGCTTGTAACACAGAATCTGAAGATACATGGGGATGACTTGATCCTAACCCTCAACCTGCAGAACTACTTTAAGAGGTCCCTAAGTCTCTGGATGAGAAAAAAAATAATGTTTATAAAAGTAACTGAGATGCAGAGGTTAACAGTTACTCAAAATTTACATTAAATGTTAACTCATGCTATGAAGTAAAATGGTCTAGAGAAAAATATTTTTTCTTCCCTTAGGCATTGTCTAAAATATTGTTAAAGACAAATGGGGTCTAAAATTGTGGTTCCCAAATACCAGCCAAAGACAGGTTATAGTTCCTCGTGCTATTTATAAATCTGTGTTGAGGTAACAGGATCCTGAGCAGGATGGGGGTAAGCTACTTTCAGTGGCCATAAACCTAATTATTGCTTTTTGACAGAGAAACAGGCACAAAGGCTATTTGATTGGAAGCTGTATTTCCTCCAGTTGTTCTAGAGTGATAGTATGCTAACTGCAGGAAAGTTATTAAACAAGGAAATGCAAAATATAAAACAAATTAATAATATGGTTGTTCTGACTCCATCTAGAATGGGTTAACAAAATGTAAACCTGACAATAGCCGGGAAAAGAGCAAGTGAACTATTATGAGTCAAAGTACCTAGAGTTTCCAGGGAGAGAAAGATGTGTAGAGAAGAAAGAATATGATATTTAGGTTGAGAAAGCCCTGGGGGTGAATCCTGATTATGTCACTTAGGTGTTACAAAGGCATGGGCAAGTCAATAATTTACCTTTGTGCACTTCAGTGACCAGTCTGCAAATTATGGATACTTAATGGATATCTTAAAGGTTTATTGTAAACATTTAAAAGTATATCATCTGTGTAGTGCTAAGGATAGAATCTAGCACACTTAATAGATGCTATGACTATGGAGTGGTGAAGTGGAGCAAGGACGTAAAAAGACTTGATGGGAGATACTAGTAATTGTTGTGACAATGCGCAAAACACAAAATCCCCGAAGTCCAAAAGCTTGGATAGGAGAAGTGTTCTTCCTTCAGTATAAAGAAGAGAAAATCTGAAGCCAATGTGCTTAAATATCAGCCCTTAGATTTTGACAATATTCTATTAGATCTTATTTCAGGATAAAACTTGACAGAAAACAATGACGGAGCAAATTGAAGAAATGAGTATAGTGGATCCCAATATCATAAAAAAGAAACAAGTATAATACCATACAATGTCTGTATGTTTCTCTGTCAAACAAGCTATATAAAAGTTCCCTGTAAAATATTAGTATCTCATTCTTACTTACGATGTTAGTTAAAAATGAATCCTATACCTCCACAACCATTAAATGATTAAATGCTCTTTATTTTTTAAATGTATAGTTTTGAAAAATTCTTCAGAAAATTAAAATAATTTTGAAATAATCCCTAAGTATTATTCTATGCATTTAGAAACACATCAAATGTATGCATGCAAAAGTTATTTATCTATGTTGATCTGAATTCCATGCAAAATCATGACCAAAATAAATCACTTTTCAAATGTCATAATTGAAATTTTAGATCTTTTTAAGGTTACTATGTGGTTGGTGCAAACGTAATTGCAGTTTTGCCATTTTTTTATGGTCATTAAATATCATTATTACTTTTCAATTTACTTAAAAGTCAATTGCAGCTCTTAGTTTTTGATCATAGATATTTTGAATTCAATGGGATTGCTTTTTGACTATTAGCATTTATTAATCTGAGTCTGTAAATACATTTTTTCAAGCTGATATTTATTTAAATATGCACTTCACTACATCTTAATTATCTTTTTCCCCCTGAAATAAAAATTTCTTCTGAATGGTTTATTTCCAATTTTGGTAAACCTTGAATACTTTCATTTTATTGACCTATGTTGAAAGAAAAGGTATTATCTGCTTTACCTAAGTAATGAGGGAAAAGTCTCATTTTTAATTACTAAGCCTAGTAGTAGGGACTGCTGTTAGGCTTCTAATAATTTTTTGTTTTGTTTTGTTTCGTTTTGTTTTGTTTTGAGACAGAGTCTCTCTCTGTCGCCCAGGCTGGAGGGCAGTGGCGCGCTCTCGGCTCACTGTAAGCTCCGCCTCCCGGGTTCACACCATTCTCCTGCCTCAGCCTCTCCAGTAGCTGGGCCTACAGGTGCCCACCACCACGCCTGGCTAATTTGTTTTTTTATTTTTATTTTTTGTATTTTTAGTAGAGATGGGGTTTCACTGTGTTAGCCAGGATGGTCTCAATCTCCGACCTCGTGATCCACCCGCCTTGGCCTCCCAAAGTGCTGGGATTACAGGTGTGAGTCACCGCAACTGGCTTTTTTTTTTTTTTTTTTTTTTTTTTTTTTTTTGAGACAGAGTCTTGCTCTGTTGTTCAGGCTGGCATGCAGTGGCACCATCTTGACTCACTGCAGCCTCCACCTCCCGGGTTCAAGCTATTCTCATGTCTCAGCCTCTAGAGCAGCTGGAATTACAGGCACGCACCACCACAGCCGGCTAATTTTTTTATTTGTAGTAGAAACGGGGTTTTACCATGTTGGCCAGGCTGGTCTGGAACTCCTGACCTCAGGTGATCTTCCTGCCCCCACCTCTGGGATTACAGGCGTTAGCCACTGCACCTGGCCTCTAATAAATTATTGATCGATGAAAATCCAATCCTTAAGCCCTAATACGGACGAAATATAAAATCATCAGGCACATTCTCTACTCAGAAATATCCCATGACATTCCTGGGAATCACAGCACTTCCCTAAATAGAGTCAAAAAATAACACTGCTTTAGTTGTTTAAGTTCTAAGAATCACCTCAAGTGCAGCACTGAAATGCAGCCAAGTTTGCAAAAACTTTCCGGAACTTATGTACCATGAATTCATTAATAACTCAACATTTTACTGTTGTCTATTAATCTACATTTATTCTAAATGAGTTATTATTGCTATCTCATTGAACTTCCCCAAATGCTTTACAACAAAATTATTCACACAACTGACGAATTTTGACTGTAGAAAGTACTCTACTATTGAATGTGATTTGAAAAATAAAAACACAGAAATTCTCTTCCCTATTCCAAACTAGATTCTTTAGGTCAGAGGAGTGAGAAAAAAATGAAGGATATGAACCTGGGATCTCCATCTGTCTGCTGAGCATGTTGCTATTCATTGACCAATGGGACTCAGCAGTTAGTGCCCATATGGGTTTGCCTTAAGTTTGTGGAACAGTTGTCATGGCAACTGTATTTATATGCATCACTGGCTGTATCAGATCAGAAGCAGGACTGAGAAAAAAGTTCTCTTGTCAGAAACAGAAAACACAGAAAAATATAATTCTGAAATCTTTTTTATCAGAAAAAAATGATATGCAGTGTATCTATGTGTTTGTGTAGAGGGGAAGAGGTGCATGTGTATTTTGAGGAAGAGGGAAAGTCGCAATCATTTAGGAAATTATACACCATCGTTCTTTTCTCCAGACATACATATATCTAGAGTTCTTAAACAGCTATGTAAAGTTTAGAATGAGATTAATATATTTTATATCTTAATTGACTTATTGAAATTAAATCAGATTATCAGGTTAGTCAATAGTTACATCTCTAATGTTTCTACGTGTATTTGAAAATAAATGTTACAATAGGGTCATGGAATTAAAATGAAAAGAGTGTCCTTCACAAAATCCATTGTACAATTTAAATAAAGTGATTTTTGTAGTTACAAATATTAATATTTGTGGTACTTATAGAATAATTAAGCACACTTCTTGGCATCATAACTAAATAAAATAACATTATTAAATGTTATTATATTAATAACCCTTGAAGGAGGATCATTATTGGTAACTTTTGAGTTAAGAGTACTTTGTTTATCCCATGTTTATTGCAGCATTATTCACAAGAGCCAAAATTTGGAAGCAATCTAAGTGTCTATCAACAGACAAATTGTGGTACACATACACAGTGGAGTACTATTCAGCCATAAAAAATGAGATCTTGTCATTTACAACAACATGGATGGAACTGGAGATCATGATATTAAGTGAAATAAGACAGGCACAGAAAAACAAACTTCATATGTTCTCAATTGTTTGTGGGAGCTAAAAATAAAAACAATTGAAAACATGAGGATAGAGAGTAGAACAATGGTTTCCAGAGCCTGGGAAGGAGTAGTGAGGGATTGGGAGGGAAGTAAGGATGGTTAATGGGTACAAAAAATAAATAGAAAAAACATGAATAAGATCTAGTATTTGATAGTGAAACAAACTAAATAAGATAATTTTTTTAAAAGAGTACTTTGTTTACCAATGGATCTTTTTATGAAAGTTTGGAAAGACATGGATAAAACAACCATGTCCCTCTAAAACAGATGAAAGATTTAGAAAATTAGGGAAAGGAGACTGAGGTAGTTTTGGTAATCTAGCAGCAGGAGCACATGTGCCTGAGTTTACTGATGGAAGGGCAAAAGCTTTTATGTTAACTTTTCATTTTGAGAGAATCAAATGAGAGTATGAGGCCTCTATCAAGCCTGATACAAAATTAAACCAGGAATAATGCTAACAAAATGGATATGTCTAGTATTTTAATTAACAATAATTCTCATCTATAGATGTAGAAATAAAAAAAAGTGTCAAAAAGCACAATTGGTGAAGGATTTAATTTTACAATATCATTGCTTTAGCAATTATGTAATACATTATTATTTAATAATGTTTACTTTATAAATGCTTCAATGATGAGTATCAACACACTGAATAATTTCAGTGATTACACAGAATCTTACATTTGAGGAAATAATAATCATACTTCTAAAGTAGTTATAGTGACCATTCATTTTGCTTTTATACTTTTATTTTACTTGAGAATAAATGACACACTGAATTGACTGTCAATAATGACACACACCAGTTGTATCTAGGTGGATATAGGGATTTTTAGAAACATTGCTGCTAGGGTTACTAGTTTTATTTATTATTTATTATTCCCTCCCACTTTTTAAAGTTTTATTATAAACAAACACAACATATGTGCAAAAGAGGACATATAATGTATATGTAAATATAAGAAATTCATGTTCATATATGAAGAAAATCAGTATATTTCAGAACTTTTAAATTACCTTTTGTAGTTTATTCCAATTAAATCCCCATTTTGTCCCAAATATAATAACTATCCTGATTAGTTTTGTAACAATTAGTTTTCCAATCAATCAATGCTTTCTTTTATACTTTTAGTACACATACGTATGTGTGTATGGGTGTATATATGAAATGTTTTATTCAGTTTTGCTTATTGTAACACAAACAGTATCATATAATACGTATTTACCTTCAACTTGCTTTTTTACTCAATGTGATTTTTGAGTTTAATGAATGTTGATGTATGTGTAGCAGTAGATTGTTCATTTTCAATGAAGTAGGATATTCCCTTATTTAAATTTCCTTGTTTAAATTTGTGTTCATTTCTCTCATTAGACTTTGAAACTTTTATTCATCCCACTTTTCTTGTTTCCTTTTACGTTTTTCTTTCTAGCCCAACTTGGGTTTGATTTTAATGCCATGGTCTTTTTTTTTTTTTTTTTTTTTTTTCTGTCTCAGTTTTTAAAGCTAAGCATTCGATTTCTGTTCTTTAGTGTTACCCCAAAATTAATGTTTGTAATTATGTTAACAAATTATAAAGTTAATCGAGATAATAATCCATTTCCCAGACCAGAGAAGAACCTTAGAATTGTCTCATTCTAGTCACTCTCTCCTGGTTTATATTCTAGTCTGGTTTAAAATTTGAGTATAACCTTAGGGTATTTTCACTACATATTAATCACTGTTGATTGTTGTAATGCCAATTTTACTTAGTAAGATATTTTTCACATTTTTTGCTCATAAATACATTTTTCATCTCAGGATTTCTTTTTAGGAATATTTTCCTTCATGCATTCTTGATAAAGTTTTGGTGGTGACAGTTTGTGGTAAAGTCTCTCAGCTTTTATCTGAAAATGGCTTTCTTTATTAACTTTTTGAAGTGTAATGACACTGGAGAGGTTGCTAGGTTTTTAGTTTTCATTCTATAAGCACGTTGAACATATAATTTCAGTATCTCTTGGCTTTTGCTGTTGCAGTTGAGAACTCAATATTAGTATTGCAATTCTGGCCTGAACATTTGGTTGAATCAGGGTCTTCCTTCTGTCTTTGATATTCTGTTATATACCCGGCTTTATTTCAATATGACTTTCTTTTCACTTATTTTATTTGTAATTTGTTGTCTAAAATATAAGAATGTATATCTTTATTTCTAAATAACTTTTACCTTGGTATCTTTTTGTCTCTTCTTTAGTTTCTTTTTTTCTTGTAATTCAATTATATATGTTAGAACTTAACCCTCCATTCTCAGTTGCTTAACTTTAGTTTGTTTTAAATATCTTCTTCATTCTTCTGTTGTGTTCCATGAAGTAGATTCATAACTATTTCCAGTTCAGAAGTTTTTTCATCAGTCCTAAAATACACACATTAATTGGGCTTTCTAACTTCAATTATTTTCTTCACTTCTTAAAGTTATATGTTGAGGGTTTTTTTGCCAATATGTGTAGTATTTTTTGACAGACTCATATTTCTTCATTATATGTATAATTCCCTTTTACCACTTTAGACTTTTTTATATACATTTTATATATTTGGTATGATAATTCCAATGACTGTCATCTGTGAGTACAATTTTTCTGTACTTTCATTCCACTAACAAAGCTCTCATTTTCTACTGCTTTGTAATTACACTTACCTTTTCCCTGCAGGACTACCTCCCTGCAATCTCTCACCTTTGACAAACACTAACTTGTTTTCCATCTTCACGTTTAAGCCATTTCAAGAATGCTATGTATAAATTTAATATACAGTAAAGTGACCTTTGAGATTTTATAGTTTTCACTCAGCATTATGCCCTTCAGATCCATCCAAATTGTTGCATCTGTCAATAGTTTGTTCCTTTTTACTGCTGAGCATTATTCTGTGGTAGCAATGTACTATGGCTTTTTAATACCTGTTGAAGGGTAGCTGGACTCTTCCATGTTTTGCCTATTACAAATAATGCTGTTATGAACAATGGTGCACAGGTTTTTATGTAGACATGAGTATTCAGTTTTTACTGATAAATGTCCTGGAGGGCAATTGCTGGGTCATGTGCTAAGAGTATATTTACTAATTTTTTAAGAAACTGCCAAATTATTTTCCAGAGTGGTTGTGCTATTTTACATGTCCAAAAACAATGTAAAAGAGATTTGTTTTTTTCACATCTTTGCCAGCATTTGGGATTGTCATTAATTTTTTTTTTTTTTTTTTTTTTTTGAGATAGAGTCTCATTCTTGTCGCTCAGGGTGGAGTGTGCAATGATGCGATCTCAGCTCACTGTAACCTCTGCCTCCCGGGTACAAGTGAGTCTCCTGCCTCAGCCTCTAGAGTAGCTGGGATTACAGGCGCCCACCACCATGCCTGGCTAATTTTTGCATTTTTAGTAGAGACAGGGTTTCACCACGTTGGCCAGGCTGGTCTCAAACTCCTGACCTCAGGTGATCCACCCGCCTTGGCCTCCCATAGTGCTGGGATTACAGGCGTGAGCCACTGCGCCCGGCCCTAAAGTTGGTTGTTCTAATACACGTATCTTCATATCCAATTATGGTCTGAATTTCTATTTCCCTAATGACTACTATTGTGGAAGCTCTTTTCATGTAATTTTTGGCCATTTTTATATCTTTTCATGTTAACTGTGTTAACTCTTATTCCATATATCCTTTGCACATTTTTTTTTTTTTTTTTTTGTAATGGACAGGGTGTTACTCTATTTCCCAAGCTGGAGTACAGTTGCAGTGGAGCAATAATAGCTCACTGTAAACTTGAATTCCTAGGCTTGAAGAGATGCTCCAACCTCAGCTCCCCAAGCATCTGGGACTACAGGTGCACACCAGCATGCCCAGCTAATTTTTTGTTTGTTTGTTTGTTTGCTTTTGGTAGAGACAGGGTTACACTATGTTGCCCAGACTGGTCTCAAACTCCTGGCCTTAAACAATCCTCCTGCCATGGCCTCTCAAAGTGCTGGGATTACAGGAATGAGTCACCAGACCTGGCCTCTTTTATCATTTTCTAATTTGACTTTTTGTTTATGATTGAGTTTTGAGTGTCCTTTCATTAATGTGGCATAAATAATTTTTTGGCCAATATATGATTGGCAAAGATTTTCTCCAAAATTAACTCATTATTGCTCATCTTTTTAACAATCTTTTTCAAACGGCAAAAGATTTATTGCCATTTTATTTAGTTTTTTTTTCTCTGATTTTTATTTCTCTGTTTTGTTAATACTGCCTGCCTTTGGATTCCTTGAACTTTTTTTTTTTTTTTTTTTTGAGACAGAGTTTTACTTTGTCGCCCAGGCTAGAGAATAGTGGTGCCATCTCTGCTCACTGCAACCTCTGCCTCCTGGACTCAAGAGATTCTCAAGCCTCAGCCTCCTGAGTAGCTGGAACTATAGGTATGTACCATCATGCCTAGCTAATTTTTAAAATTTTTAGTACAGATGGGTTTTCACCATATGGGCCAGGCTGGTCTCGAAATTCTGACCTCAAGTGATCTGTGTGCCTGGGCCTCCCAAACTGCTTGGATTATTTGAACTTTAAAAAAATATATATTTTTTGATTTATCTTCAGGGTTTTCCAGTGTAAATCTTTCTGTAACTCTCTTTTAGTGTTTGCTCTGTTTCATTATATAACTTAAAATCCCCTTATGCCAACATTTCACCAGTTGTAATGAAATGTCAAAATCATACCTCCCTTATGTCTCTTTACCCTCCTTCATTTATCTACATGCATTGGTAATCACAGTAGATGAAGTTATACATTTTAGCTTAACCATCAAACATATTTAAGTAAACTCAAGGGTCAATGGAATGTTTTTACTTACTGATGGTTTTACTTTCTCTCCTGTCTTTCTTCCTAATATTTTAAGATTTCTCCTTCTAGATGAGAATAATAAACACTGGGGATGCCAAAAGGGAGAAAGAAGAGAGGGAGTGGGGCAAGGGTTGAAAACTACCTATCGGGCACTATGTTCACTACTTGGGTGTCAGGATCATTAGAAGCACAAACCTCAGCATCATGCAGTATACACATGTAATAAACCTGCACATGTACCTGTGAATCCAATATTTTAAAAAATTCTTCTTATTCCATATAGAATTCTGGGATCACAGTTCTCTCTTTAGGCACTTGAAAACTATTGTGCTGCTTCCTTCTGACTTCCATGATTTCTGATGGGAAATCACTATCATCCGAATTGTTTTTCCCCTATAGCTAATACTTTGTTCCTCTCTGGTTGCTTTCACAAATTTTCTATTTGTCTTTAGTATTTGTAAGTTTCATTATAATGTGCCACAATTTGGATTTTGGGGGGGTTATTTTGTTTTAGATTCACCCACCTTGAATTTGTGGGTATAATTTTGGTATTTGTGATCTTTGTTTTGTTTGCCAAATTTGGGGGAATTTTCAGTCATTATTTGTTGGAAAACTTTTTAAGTCTTACCCCCATTTTCACCAATTTATGGAACCCCAAAGGCACAAATATTTGATATTTCATTGTATCCTACATGTCCCTGAGGCCATGTTCAGTTTTGTTTTCCAGTCTCTTTTCTCTCTGTTTGTTTTACAGATTGGGTGACTTCTACTGATTTATTTTCATGTTCAGAAATTCTTCGTTTGACATCTCCACTTTGTTAATGAGTCAGTCAATTGAATTTTACTTTAGATATTATATTTTTAATTGTATATTGTATAATTTCTCTTTGGTTCTTCATTGTCTCTTCTATACCTTTGCTCATTTTAAAAAATTTTTTTTATTTGTAGTAGACATGTTTATCATGCTCCTTGGAATATTTTTATAATAACTGTTTTAGAATTTAAGATAACTCTAACACTTGTGTCACCTCAGAACTGGTCTATGATGACTATCTTTCTTCATTCAGTTGGAGATCTTCCTGATTATCAGTATAATGAGTGACTGTCAGTTGCAACCCAGGTGTTATAAATTTTCTATTACAATAGTATGGATTTAATTTAAATCTGTGCTTTAGCATAAGACATTGCTTTTTGGGTGAAGGTGGCACCAACTTTTTATTTCCAGATTGGGCTTTTCCCAATTTTCCAGTCAGCCTCCATGGACAAGATAAAGAATAGGAAGGAAAGAGACTCTTTGTTACTGTTGGGTAGGGGTAAAGTGGGAGTTCAGGCTCCCTATTTTTGTTTCTACTAGGTCTATACTACTGTGCCTGGAAGGGGTAGTGTAAGGTATAACTGCTTCCCATCTGGCATCCACTGACACAGTGGAGGGGTGGTCTTATCACACAGAATGGTGGTGAAAATCCTGACTTTCCACTAGTGCCACTTTGACACTACCCCAGTGGAGTGGGGTAGAAACGCCTTGTCACTCCTTGGTGGGCCTAGAAATCCAGGTTTCCCACATGGTCTCCACTGATTGATGGGGAGTGGGAGGGCTTGGCCAGGGACCTTGTTATTGCCACACTGGGATAGAATACCATGCTTGCTACTTTGGCCTTCTCTGACAACACCACTGTTGGATGGACGTCTTGGCTCCATTTGTTGGCAGGAGGGGAAGTAAGAGTGGGCTGCAGGTTTTTTGTTGTTTGCTTGCTTATTTCTTTGTTTGTTTCCTGTTGTGTTTGGTTAAAGTAGATTGTTTATCATCTAAAAGTTTTCTGTCTTGTTAGACTTTCTCATTTCTAGTCTTGGTCTAGAAAAAGCAGGCTTATCCTAGGGCTTCTTTTTTCCCCACTTCTTGTTGGCATTTCTATGTTAGTGACTTCTCCATAATGTAGTTTGGGATATATAAGGAAAAAAATGAAACCAACAGAAAGTACCACCGTGTCATTGCTCGGGACTCTCAACTTGGAATTGCAATCTGCCTTCCTAAATACCCTAACCAATCTGCCTTCATTTCTTTACATATCTGTGTGTCTGTGTGTCTGTGTGTGCGTGCTTGTGTGGGTGTGTGTGTGTATTTTTAACTGAGGCTTTAGTAATAATTAACTTTAATAATAGGTAGGAGCATGTGTATATTCTTAGAAGCCTGGCTACGTTTTGAAAACACAGTCATATCACATTTTTAGTCAACAATGTACCATATATACATGGTGAGCTCATAAGATTATAATGGAGCTGAAAAACTGCTATCACCTGGTGACACTGAAGCCACCCAAAAGTAATTGCACAATGTATTACCTACATGTTTTTGGTGATGCTGGTATAAACAAACATACTGCACCGCCAGCTCTATAAAAAATACAATTCATACAATTATCAAGTACAATACATAATACTTGATAATTATAATCAATGACTATGTCACTATTTGATGTATTTACAATATTATAATTTTTATTATTCTTTGAGCACGGACTCCTATGTTTATTTAAAAATAAGTTAACTGTAAAACAGCCTCAGGCAGGTCCTTTAGGAGGTATTCCAGAAGAAGGCATTGCTATCCTAGGAGATGACAGCTCCATGCTAGTCATTGCCCCTGAAGACTCTCCAGTGGGACAAGATATGGAGATATGGAGGGGGAAGACAGTGATATTGATGATCTTGCCCTTGTGTATATATATGAGACTGAGTCTCACTCTGTTGCCCAGGCTGGAGTGCAGTGGCATAATCCCAGCTCACTGCAACCTCCGCCTCCCAGATTCAAGCAGTTCTCCTGTATCAGCCTACTGAGTAGCTGGGATTATAGGCGTGAGCCACCACGCCCAAGTAATTTTGTATATTTAGTGGAGACTGGGTTTCACCATGTTAGCCAGGCTGATCTCGAACTCCCGACCTCTGGTGATCCACCTGCTTGGCTTCCGAAAATGCTGGGATTACAGACATGAGCCACTGCAACCAGCCATGTGTCTTATATTTTAACAAACAAGTTTAAATACTAAAAAAAAATAAAAATAAAAATGAGAAAAGTTATATAATAAGAAAAAATATAGTTTTGTACAGCTGAACAATGTGTATTTTAAGCTCAGTGTTATTACTAAGGAGTCAAAATGCTAAAAGTTTATAAGTTAAGAAAGTTACAGAAAGTTAAGATCAATTTATTATTGAAGAAAGAAAAATAAATAAATTTAGTGTAGCCAAAACATACAGCGTTTATACAGTCTATGGTAGTGTACAGTAATGTTCTTGGCCTTCACATTCGCTCACTACTTACTCATTGACTCATCCAGAGCAACTTTCAGTTGTGGAAGCTCCATTCATGGTAAATGCTCTATACAGGTATACCATTTTTTATCTTTTATATCATTTTTACTGTACCTTTTCTATGCTTAGATACACAAATAACATTGTGTTACAATTGCCTACAATATTCTGTAAAGTAACTAGCTATACAGGTTTGTGGCCTAGAAGCAACAGACTATACCATGTAGCCTACATGTGTAGGAGGCTGTACCATCTCAGTTTATATAATTATACTCTCTGATGTTGCACAAGGGCAACATTGCCCAAAGATGCATTTCTCAGAATCTATGCCCATTGTTAAACAGCACATGACTGTACTTCAAGAATCTGACCATTGTCAGCAACTCCACCACTTCTAATCTGACTCATCATCTCTCAATCACACTTCTGCAATTGTTCCCTACTGGTGTCTTCACTGCAATTCTTACTCATGCTCACAACATTTTTGTTCCATAGCAGTAGAAATCCTATAAAAAGTAAATTCCCGTTGTCCTATTTTCAACACTTTTCAATGGTTTCCCATGGTACTTAGAATAACATCATAATTTGTTATTATGATCCATAGAGCCCTATGTTACCTAGCTTCCTTCTTTTCTTATCTCTTCTCTTACTACTTCTCACAGCCCAGTTCATACTGGCCTTTTGGAGTCTGTTTGTATTTTTAGAACTCTACATTTGCTCCCACGTACATGCACTTCACTTGCTCTTCACTCTCTTAAATATTACTTTCTCAGTAATTGACATTGCATATTGCCATCTTGAATTTACATCTCTGCTCAAATGAAATCTCACAGATAGGTTTCTTATCAGCCAGTCTGTCTAGAATAGTACTATTTAGCCATTTCTTATCACCGTACATTGTTTATTTTGTAATAGAAACAACAGAATAGCATTCACTCAATAAATACTATTTGTATTTAATTATTTAAGTTAAATAAACAAGTTTACATGAAAAAATACATATAACATTTTAATGTTTTTTTTTGTATCAGTTTATGGAAAATTTCTTTTAAAATACCCTATACCAAGATACATGCCTTGGTGTGAGATATATTATTTTGATGAAGAACATCCACATTCTCCAATGTATAAACAAATGACCTTTGGATTAGAAAAACTGTATCCATTTCTATACATTAATTTAAATGAAATTGTTGGTATTATTTTGACTTACTACAAATTCTCACTTAGTACTTTAATTTGTAATTGCATTTTAGGATTAAAGTAAGACTAGACAATTTACCTTTATCATTAAGAAGAAATGTTCCTGCATCCTTGGCACTCCAGACAACACAGCTTATCTGTCAGTTTTTCAATAGTCAGCACACCAGGAGTTATAGAACTGAACTGGATGGACTCCTGGGCTCTGTTTCCAGTATTGACTATGACTCACAGAATAACCTTGGGAAAGTCATTTAACCTTCTATGACCAAGTTATCTTGTCATGAAAAGGAAACAGCAACACCTAACTCTCACGGGTGCTATGTATAATATTCATATAGGAAGTCATTTTGAAGATGTTTATATACACATAGTACTAATTGCTATTTGAACTGTTACCCCAAAGTCAAGATACAACTCAAGGAATGTCGCCTTGACTTATACATCCATCACCTGAAAAGTTATATGGTTTTTCTAAGAAAAAAATAGATTACTTTCTAAAGTCCTTAAATCAAGCATATTACAATCAGCAACAAAACAATCTATGATTAATCCAATACATTAAGCACAAATACATCCTTTTTTGCTTTTATCTTGATTTTTAAGTCTTTACTTTTTGCTGTACAGTTTCTCAATTGCAAGCATACTCATCATTTAGCAAACAGATTCTACAGGTATTTTTTTAGTTTATCCTAAAAACAAACCACTCTTCTTTTATTTCCACATTTATGGAAAAAATACCATCTGTCAGAAAGAGGGCTAGAAGTAGAAGCCACATAGATGAGTGTGTCATTCTATGAAACAAAAAAGTGGGGAAAAGAACTAATAAATACATATTATAATTTTCATATTATTTATTTAAAAAACACACAACACACACACACACACACAAGGAATCCTCTTTGGACTTCTAAAGATGACTGGTAGTAGTATATGTACAAGTATCTGAAAGCTTGCTGGCTTTATTCTTATAAACACATATGGAGTTTTAAAGAAATATTTTTTTCCTGAGTAACTAAAGGACATTCCTGTAACACTTGTCTCTTTACTTAGTAAAAGCAAATGTTTCACATTAATTCTTTGAAGTATAGGGATGCTGCCCCACCTCCACTCTTTCATAAGATTAAGAGTATCTGCATATTTCCCAGATTAACAGAGCACCTTCCTCTATCTGTTTTGTCAAAGCTTTTAATCACATTTAAACCCTATGCCTGAAAATTGCCTCATCCTGGTAAAGGTTTCCTTTGTAATCAAGTTTTCAACTGATTTCATTAAACAACTATATTCTAGTTAAGTTGTTTTTTGTAATTTATTTATCTACTCTCTTTCTCTAAAATGCGAAGTGGACATCATGTTGAATCTCCTTTGGGTACCAGGTCAAATTGGCTATGGAAAATTTTAAGTTGGCCAAGAAGCCAGTGGAATAGACCATTGTAGGCAGAGGATACAACCAGTGAAAAGACAGGCAAAGGACCAGTAACATTTCTTGTGTTTGTCACTGGAGCATAAGTGTGAGAAAAAAAAAAATGTCATAAAGAGGAAGATGGGAAATATAGTCAGGAGGACTGCAGTGGCCAATTTTGGGATGGCATAAATTACTGATTTTAATCCTCATACTTCCTCTGGAAGGTAAGGATAATTCCTCCAACTTTACAAGTGAAGAACATGTCACTCAGAAGATCAATCAAAGGCTAAAATCCCACAGGTGCAGAGTGACAGATTCTAGACTTGGACCCAGGTTCATCTCACTTCATGGTCTATTGTTTTTGTTTGTTTGTTTTGTTTCATTTTGTTTTGTTTTTGAGACAGAATCTCGCTCTGTTGCCCAGGCTGGAGTGCAATGGCACAATTTCTGCTCATTGCAACCTGCGCCTCCCAGGCTCAAGCGATTCGCGTGCTTCAGCTTCCCTAGTAGCTGGGATTACAGGAGTGCACCACCATACCTGGCTAATTTTAACTTTTTTGTTGTTGTTGTTTTGTTCTGTTTTTTAATAGAGACGGGGTTTCACCATGTTGGCCAGGCTGGTCTCAAACTCCTGGCCTCAAGTGATCCGCCCGCCTCGGCCTTCCAAAGTGCTGGAATTAAAGGCCCTTACACCCGGCCTCTAGCTTATGTGTTTATACCTTACCCCACCAAGTACCGAAGCTGCAATCAGGACCCTCTTCCTCTCTCCAAAGCATTAAGGAAATTGTTTTGCTCGAGATTATTGTATTTGATCCTCCTTTCACAGTAACAAACATAGGTTACATGGACTGCTTTTAATAAACTTATTCTGCAAATACTTATCTTGTACTAGAAGTGTTGAATAGTGTGCTCAATACAATGCTTATCCTTGTATTGAGATAATACAACCAAACCAACCAAACCTTGCAACCAAACCCAACAGTGAACACAATAGCATTAATGTGGACTGACCACTGCAGAATACAGGAACAGGCTTAGGGTCTAAAATGTGTGCCTACATTGAATCTTTTCATAAAAACACAGTATTGTAGATATGAAACATAAGAAAACTTATAAAACTTGGTTTGACCAGCTTGATTTAAAAAAAAAAATCACAAGCTTTTGGTTAACTGAAAAAAAAAAAACCCACAAAGACAAAAACAAAAACAGAGACTGTATTCCAGTAGAGAAATGAGTGTTTTGTTCACAGATATCCTATTACTTCTGAATTAGTGCAAAATGGAAATCTGTTTGTGTGTGTGTGTGTGTGTGTATAAATATAAATATATAACTGTATAGGTGGAAAGTTTGTCCCATATAGTAGAAAACTTTAGTGGCCATGTTCTTTAGAGACACATTACTTACCCCACTCACTGTTTCTCAATAATAATGTAGACAACCCATTCCTTGAGAATAAAACACAGATTTCATTGAAAAGATAAATTCTTCTAACCTTTCTAAGCCAGTATTTTCATTGTCACATTTTAGTGATTTCAGTTTAGCAAAATTTCTGAACACGGTGCTTTAAACTCGCAGCTAAATACACAAACTGAATTTTTTTAAAAAAAACACAATTACATTCTTAACTTCAAAATGTAACTTTCCTCCTTCCTTGCGTGTTTGCAATTATATCTTATTTCTTGTTCTCTACCTGCTTCTAAACTTTTAAGCAGAAGCATGTCAGTGTTAAAAGGTAGCATGAAGAAACACTACATATAAAGGGGGAAGTGCAGTCTTGGTGCTTTTAGGTGCTCAGTTTTAAAATCTTGGATATGACATTTAGTATCTCTGAGCCTGAGTCCCTTAGAACAAGACAGAACTATTTAAATAAGTCATTGATGAGATATTTTTTCAAAGCCTAAGATATGTTTTCATTACTTTTTCTGTGCGTAAGGGGGTGGGACTTTAGCTCTTAATCACTAGCATAGGTCACTCCAAAATTTGACATGCTGTCTGAAGGAAAATCTTAAAAAATGATATTATTGCACAAGTTACATTTTTGGCAACTTATCTCAAATATACTTTCCCTAGATTTTCAAAAAGTCTGATAGTCCTGACAAGAAATGGGAACTTTGAAAATCCTGAACGTGGTTCTGTGTGATTATCCATCTGTCAAAAATGTTGATGCTGCTTAGAATATACAACTACCCAAATTCTCTGTAATTCAGAACACAATTTAGGATTCATATTAAATTTTGTGATGGTCTCTACACTTATCTTTAACTATATTTGAATGATGAGAACAGATTGGTTTGGTTCATATTCTTTGGTAAGCAAGGACATCATTCAATATCTATAGGTAGATACAACATCAACTTGTCTGGCAAGGCAGCCAGTTAGAAAGATTTTGAAACCTGTTGACCAGCAGTCTCCAAACTTTTTGACAACAGGGACCAGTTTCGTGGAAAGCAATTTTTCCACAGATGGCAGGCTAGGGTAGAGAAGCGGGGGCGGTTTCATCAGGCACTGATTTCTCATAAGGAGCATGCAAGATCCCTCACATGCGCAGTTCACAATAGGGTTCCCCCTTCTGTGAGAATCTAATGCAGCCTCTGATCTGACAGGAGGAAGAGTTCAGGCAGTGATGCCAGCGATGGAGAGCAGTTGTAAATACAGATGAAGCTTTACTTACTAGCCCACTACTCACCTCTTGCTGTGTGGCCTGGCTCCTAACAGACCATGGACCAGTACTGGTCTGTGGGCTGCGGGTTGGGGACCCCTGCTATAAACAATACTTTGAAAGGGGCAGAAAGTAGGCAAAATGAAGTCAGGTATAATATTAGGCTTGAAAAATCATTTTATCTACTTTTGTTTTGCTTGGAGTTAGTCTACATCATTGCTGTAAGTATACTTTCTCTTGAACAGAAATTCATTTGTGATAGCTTAGCCATGTTTCATTGAATGCACTATCTTTAGTACTAATAATAAATATTTAAATGGCAATTTATAGTTTAGAAAATACTTTTTTAACTAATTGATTTTATTTTTCCTATAACTTTGTTTCCTGGAAGAGACTATTAAAACTCATTTGATAGATATGAAAAATTGAGGCCAAGAAAGTTTAGATGAGTAAACATCATAGAACTAAATGAAAAAAAAATCAATTCTTTTATGTAAACCAAACCTAATTCTTTTATTTCTTGTTGTCTTGAAGTTGAATAAAAAATAATTAATTAGTTCCTGATCAAACTACATTTGTCCTTTTAAAATTTTACTACCCACATTTAAAAATACTTAAGTAACACTTTATGAGATTTCAGAGTTCTTCTCACATGTGCTACCTGACGTCGATCTGAATTACAAAGAAAAAACATCAGCATGCTTCTAAATCAGCCCACAAAGGGACTGCAGCTATTTCACCTGTGCTCCCATCATCTGGTGAAGGGTATAATTATTATCACCATAAACAAGCATTTATAATTTATTACATACTAATATAGGCTATGTCCTATAAACTTATAATAGTTTATTTACACAGATTTTATAATTTATGATGCATTTTAATATACAGTACATTATCCTATTTTAACTCCATAATAAACTTAGAAGTAAAAAGAAAGGGCATTTTGGTGGCTATTTTTTAATATGAGGAAAATGAGGCCAAGATAAACAATGCGGTGTTTCGAGAACATCATGTTAGAAATTCAAACTTAGTATTTTTCAAACTTGTTCTGGCTTACCACAAAACAAAACAAAACAAAACAAAAGATTTACTTCTACTCTTCTGACAGAAAATTAATATTGCCAGCAATCTAGATTATTCCCAGATACATCTAAAACTGCAAAATATTAAACTAGGAGAAAAAAATGAAAAATGAATCAGACTAATAGATAATTTATATAGAAAAAACAAAAAATTAATAATGTAAAATACAGAATTAAAAGAATCAATTTACTGCCTTAACATTTTTTACTGTAAAAATATTGCTACCTTTCATTGATTATTTAAATTGAGCAGATGACACTATAAAAAACAAACAGCCTCTAATTTTATAATATTCATATTAGTAATTTAATTCACTCAAAGTTTAACATTTATTTTTGATACTTTATATGTCATCAAAAGGAAACCTTTTGATCAAAACTGGCTGTGTTACATAAAATAGTTACATATTTCTGACGCCTTCTTCCTTCTTAAGAAATCTACCCATAAAATTCTTCTTCAGAAGAAGCTTCTACCTTTGTATTAAACATTTATCTAGAAAGTTAAAGTTTTATAAGGTTTAAGATTATAAAATATTAAAATTAAGTTTGAATTTCTGATATGTTCAGTTAAAAAAAAAAGGGAGCTGAGGTTTTCCTTTTTAAAAAACCCATACTCATTTCTTCATAAAGAGTATGAGAACTGAAATACATTGCACTTCAGAAATTCCCCTCAGGACAAGAGTGGATGACTGATTTCCCTTTTATGTGTCATAATTTGTATTCATTCTAAAAATCAGATAAAATAAATATTAATCTGGCCATTTCTACACAGATTTTGATTACAATTTTTTTATATCTGAGTTTAATTATGATGATGCAAACTTCTGCTTCTGCATTCAAAAAATATTTTAATCATGATCAAAATATAAGTGTTAACCTGGTAATTGTTACCTATCATAACAAAAATATAACATGTTTTTATGAGAGCAATTTTGCAATATTATTTGTCATATAATTGTTAACACTTGAGTGACACTTTACCATTTTGTAAGTGTTTTTATATGCATTAACTAATTTTGTGGTGATAATTATGATCCCTAGGACATTAAATTGAATCTCATATTTGTCATAGCTAATTGGAGCAGATAAGTACCTCTTTCTCTAACTTCATACTTAGAATTTTAAAAAGAAATTAGCATTACTGACTAGAAGGAGGTCATTTGGGCTTTAATGCCAGGTTTGGTTGGAATATAAAATGTGCCCCTGGGAAAGATATTGGAAATGTCTAAATCACGGATTTCTACAAAAATAGACGTGTGGGGTGCAAAGTTAGATTACTCTACAAAATATTCATTAAGAAATGTTTTCACACAAAATTTGGAGGACTTGTAAATTTTTCTTAATATTGTATAATGTTGAGATTTTATGAAATTTTATTTAATCGTAATTAGTAATATCATGTGTTTCCAATAACAAAAACCTCACAGGATGACCATTTGATCACAATTCTTTTTCTGTGTATTCTTTGCACATGAAAATGAATGGCAGATGGTTACATCTATTATTGATAATTGCCTTCAGCTTTTCAGGTTTTACATGCAATGACAGAAAATCTTAGTGTTATTCTAGAGTTCTTTCTGCATAGTGTTCATATACATTAATGTTTACTTTGGAAAAAACAATGCAGCACATAATTGATATTCACCATAAAGAAGTGCGTGGATATTTCCTATTAAAAGACAAGCACTTTATCTAGACCATTTATGAATGAAATTTAATTCAATAGAAGGAAGAAATGTCCAACACTGATATTGTCTAAAGGAGGTAGTGAGTTACACATGAATTGAAATGTTCAAACGTAAGTTTATGGGGCACATGATAAAGCAGCTGCAGGAACATTACTAAGACTAGATGTGTGGATGACTCAATTATATTGTGGGTCATTCCAACCTGTGATTTATGATGCTATGGGTTCTTACTGACATTATGGATTGTTTACCAATTTGTTCTGCTAACTTTTCAGAGATTGATGGTAGACTGCTAAGGAAATACTTGATATCTACATTTGTTTTGTTGTGGACTACAAGAAAACAATGCTAAACTGAGAATTTAAAGTAAAGATTTTTGTCCTATCTTTGGTTTTATAGAAAGCTTTTTTTTTTTCATTTGTCAAACTCTATTAAGATACCTTTTATAAAGTATTTCTTATTCTTAAATACGAGAAATATTTTAGTATTTCAGAAACCTAGATTTCCTAATATTTATCTTAGATCTTTACTTTCTTAGCCGTGCAATAGGCCATTGAAGTTCAATCCAGTTCCAATCAGAATCCAAACTCCTGGTAAGCAGCACAAATTCTGATGCACAGAAATTGTTTGTTAATCAGAACCGGAATTCAAAATTAATGAAGCCACAATGGTAATATGAGTTAGGTCTCCTGTCGGTGTAGCATATTTATTACTCTTTTAAGGAACAAATCATCCTACTAACCATGAAACATCAAGATAAAACAATTACTTTGGCCCTATGTAAACTGATGAGAAAGAAAAAAAAATATTTAAGTTATCTATCATTTCTCCAGTATTTGTGATAAGTGTTTGGAGCAAGTATATACCAAAGAAAGAGACATCTGTTTTGATAATAGCTGAACTACAAGAAAATTAAAAAAAACCCTTATATATTTTATCTTCCAAATTTAGAAATCACTATCAAAATGAGGCCTTCTTAATTCTGAAGACATTAC
Organism: Homo sapiens; assembly: GCF_000001405.40. Taxonomy (NCBI): domain Eukaryota; kingdom Metazoa; phylum Chordata; class Mammalia; order Primates; family Hominidae; genus Homo; species Homo sapiens. The sequence goes on from NC_000013.11 coordinate 70,052,536, forward strand.
TTAAATTTTGATTTTAATAAAATGCCATATTTTAATATTAGTTAATTTTAAGTATATTTTGAATAGCTAATTTTATGTGCCCATATTTATTAACTATTAAAATAAATTTTTAAAAATAACCTCTTTATTTCCCCTTAAAAGAGAAAACAAATCTAACTCAGATTTTTTTGTTCCCTCTAAAACAGGCTCTCCTTCTCTCTCTCTCACATGCACATACATAGGCCTTAGGTTAATTTCAACATAATTAGGGGTAGGAAACACAGCAACAAGTGCAAAGGCCTGTTGTTGAATACGGAGAATATAAGAAGATAAATTAGACATTTTGAATATTATCTTCTAAATAATTTATTATTTTATTCCTTACATTGATATCTACAAATCTATTGTGATATTCACAATTTCCATGATATGGACTCATGAAAAAATTCTTGAGTGGGAAAAAACAGATAAGTACACAATTGCCAGACATCCAAACAAGGCAGAAAGTAATTGCTGCAATAAATCTACCAGACAAAAATTTTTGTATGCAGAGAAATAGACTGAAAAATTAGATTGAAGGAAAAATGAAAAAGCGATGTGTAAATGGTGAAATTTAAGTGTAGTCTTAAAAGAAACATACAGAATTTCAAAAAATAAGATATAGGGTCAAGAAAACACAAAATATAGTAGATTTTATGAATAGAACATATAGAACGAATTCTTTAACAGCAAGACTTTTCCAGGAAATATAACAGATTTGAGGGAATCTTAAATGGTAAATGAGTAATATAAGATGTGAAAGATAAGTTAGGGCCAGATCTAGAGAGCATAATATGTGGCATTAAGGAATTTATTCTTAGGAATATAGGCAATGCAAGAGACGGACAGCTCTGTGAGGAAGTGAAAATAATATATGTGATTTAGAAACAACTCAAGAGACTTCCTGTCAATAAAATATTTTAGCAGAAAAAGTTTGTTAAAGACAGAGAAATAAGGAAATTAATTATAATACTCTTATGGAAGTCTATGTAAAACAATTGATCAAAGAAGAATTTTTAAAAAACAGTGGTAAGACATTTCTGTGATAAAAGGAATTAATCATGAATTTAGTATGAGAGTAAAAGAAGGAGACTCAATAAATTATCTTCCAAGGTTTTGTACCAAATATGTTTTTAGACTGTGTATTGGCTACTTGATTTCTATTGTTGTAAACCTCTACATAAAATCACTGAATAAAATGACCAGACTAATTGCCTACACTTGTTTATGCTTTCCTTCCAAGCTAGTTTTGGCGGGCACAAGAAAGTCATACTATATTACAATTTCCCCAAGTACCAACCCCAACCTGCCTACTCCTTCTTACTGTCCAATAGGGAATGCGTCTACCTACTTTCTTGCTGCTACCATAGTCACAAAGGCATAAAGTCTCAGTTCTTCTGTCTGCTTCCTGATCCTGAATGTGACAGGTTTTGTGTGGCCTTTGATGGCATTTTGTTCCTCTCATTTCTGGGAAAAATGTGAGTATTAAAAACATTCTTTTAATGGCATTAGCTCCTCTGTCACTTTGCTCAGTTACATTTATAAATCAAGAAAAAGCCAGGGAAGAAACTTCCTTGATATTTACTACACATTACACACTGTGCTAGTCACATAGATTGTCTCATTTTCATTTAGTGATAATGCTAAGAGACAGTAATAATATAGGTATTATTATCTAAATTTTGTGTAGGAAAAATTATAAGAAATATCTATCTTGGTAAACTTTAAATAATACAAATCGAATTTTTACAGATTAAATAAAGCCATCTCTGTTTTGGACTTTAATGTGATACAAGTGTCCAGTATACACTATTATGTTTCTAGAGGTTTTTTATGTCTGTGAGATTCATCCTCTGCATGTAGCAGTGGTTAAATTTTTATTGCATTATAGTAGCCCAATGGATATATACGTAACATTGATTTTATCCATTCTATTGTTAATGGATATTTGTTTCCAGTTTAAGTTATCACAAATAATATTGTCATGAACATTCTTTTTTATGTGTTTGGGTTCACAAGTATGAGTGACCAACCCCCAAGTGACATAAATATGTAACCTTTCAGACAGAGAGTTTAAAATAGCTATTTTGATAAAGCCAAACAAAATTCAAGATAACCCAGAGAAGGAATTCAGAATCCTCTCAGACAAATTTAAAAAGTGACTGCAATATTAAAAAAAAAAAAATCAAACAGAAATTCTGGAGCTGAAAAATTCAAAAGAAAAACTAAAGAATGCATCAGAGTCTCTTAACAGTAAAATTGATCAAGCATTAAGAGAGAATTAGTGAGCTTGGAGACAAGTTATTTGAATATATACAGTCAGAGGAGACAAAAGAAAAAAATAATGAAAAAAAGGAAATACATGTGAAAGAACTAGAAAACAACCTCAAAAGGGCAAATCTAAGTTATTGGCCTTAGGGAGGAGATAGAGACATAAATTGGGGTTAAAAAGTTTATTCAAAGACGTAATAGAAATCTTTCCAAACCTCGAGAAAGATACCAATATTAAACAACAAGAAAGTTATAGGACATCAAGCAGACTTAACCCAAAGAAATTATCTCAAGACATTTATTAACCACACTCCCAAAGGTCAAGGATAAAGAAAGGGTCATAAAATCAGCAAAAGGGAGGAAACATAAAAAGGAGCTGCAATACATCCGGCAGCTGACTTATCAGTGAGAACCTCACAGTCCAGAAGAGGCCAATATGTCAAATGACACATATTTGATGTGCTGAAGGAAAAAATATTTTATCCTAAAAAAGTATATAATTTCCTTCAAACATTAAGAAAAAATAAGGACTTTTCCAGACAAATAAAAGCTGAGGGATTTCAACACCAGAACTGTCCTACAAGAAATGCTAAAAGGAGTTCTTCAATTTGAAAAAAAGGATGTTAACAAGCAATAAGAAATCCTCAGAAGATACAAAAGTCAATGGTAACAGTAAATACACAGACAAATACAAAATATTGTAACACTAAGATTGCATTAACTAGTAATATCGTGAGTAGAAAGAGTAAAAGACAAACCTATAAAATAATGACTACAACAACTTCTTAAGACATAGGTAGAATAATAAGACATAAATGGAAACAACAAAATTTAAAAAGTGGCGAGTATGTAGTGAAAGTGTAGAGTTTTTAACAGTTTTCTCTTTGTTAATTGGTTTGTTTTCGCAATGAGAGTTGTCATCAGTTTAAAATGGAGTATAATATTTTGTTTGCAAGTCACATTGTAACCTCAAATAAAAAATAAGTTACCGCAAGTGCACAAAAAAATAAAAAGCAAGAAATTAAATCATACTACCAGATAAAAATCACTTTCAGAAAAAGGAAGACAGAAAGAAAGGGGGAAAAAAGACCACAAAACAACCAGAAAACAAATAACAAAACAAACTAACACTAATAAGTCCTTACTTATCAATAATAACATTAAATATAAATGGACTGAACTCCAATCAAAAGACATGCTGTGGCTAAATGGATAAAAAACAGACAATCAAACATACAAAACTAGAACCAACAATCTGCTGCCTACAATAAATACACTTCACCTATAAAGACATGTGCAGACTGAAAATAAAGCAATGGAAAAAAGATATCCCATGGAAATGGAAACCAAAAAAGGACCAGGAGTAGATAAACTTGTGTCAAGTAAAATATAAGACAAAAGTGATACAAGGAGAAAAAGAAGTTCATTATAAATGATGACGGGTTCAATTCAGGAAGAGGAGATAACAATTGTAAATATATATGCACTGAATACTGGGACACCCAGATAAATAAACAAATATTATTAGAGCTAAAGAAAGAGACAGACCCCAATATAATAATAGCTGGTGACTTCAACATCCCACTTTCAGCATTGGAAAGACCATCCAGAAAGAAAATCAACAAAGAAACATCAAACTTAATCTGCATTATAGACCAAATGGAACTAATGTATTTCATTCAATGGCTGCAGAATACACATTCTTTTCCTTAGCTCATAAAACATTATCAAAGATAGACCATATGACTGGCCACAAAACAAATCTTAAAACATTTAAAAATTGAAACTTTATCAGGTATCTTCTCTGATCTCAACAGAATAAAATAAGAAATAAGTAACAAGAGGTACTTCGGAAACTACAAACACATGGAAATTAAACAATATGCTCCTGAATGACCAATGGGTTAATGAGGAAATTAAGAGAGAAATTTTTTAAATTTCATGAAACAAATGAAAATGGAAACACAATGTACAAAAACTATGAAATATAACAAAGCCAGTCCAAAGAGGAAATTTTATTTTAATAAACAACTGCATTTAAAAGGAAAAAAACAAAACAACTTATCGGTTCATTTTAAAGAACTAGAAAATGAGGAGCAAACCAAACCCAAAATTAGTAGAGGAAAATAAATAATATCAGCACAGAAATAAACGAAATTGTAACAAAAATATCAAAAAAAAAATTGAAAAGTTCGTTGTGTGAAAAGACAAACTAAATCAACAAACCTTTAGCCATGTGAGAAAGACTCAAATAAATAAAATTAGAGATAAAAAAACATTACAACTGATACTGCAGAAAGCAAATGATCATTAGAGACTGCTGAGAGCAACTATATGCCAATAACTTTGAAAACATAGAAGTAATGAATAAATTTCTAGACCCATACAACTTACCAAGATTGAACCATGAAGGAATCCAAAACCTCAACAGACCATTAACAAGTAATGAGATTGGGGCTGTAATAAAATGTTTCCCAGCAAATAAAATCTTAGAACCTTATAGCTTCACTGCTGATTTCTACAAAACCTTTAAATGGTTAATATTAATTCTACTCAAATAATTCCAAAAACTATAAGGAGGGAATACTTCCAAACTCATTCTGAGGCCAGTATGCCCTGATATCATAAATAGACAAAGACACATCAAAAAAAAAAAAAAAAAAAAAAAGAGGCCGGGCGCGGTGGCTCACGCCTGTAATCCCAGCACTTTGGGAGGCCGAGGCGGGTGGATCATGAGGTCAGGAGATCGAGACCATCCTGGCTAACAAGGTGAAACCCCATCTCTACTAAAAATACAAAAAATTAGCCGGGTGCGGTGGCGGGCGCCTGTAGTCCCAGCTACTCGGGAGGCTGAGGCAGGAGAATGGCGTGAACCCGGGAAGCGGAGCTTGCAGTGAGCCGAGATTGCGCCACTGCAGTCCGCAGTCCGGCCTGGGCGACAGAGCGAGACTCCGTCTCAAAAAAAAAAAAAAAAAAAAAAAGAAAGAAAGAAAAGAAAAACAAAGAAAAGGCCAATATCTCTGATGAATATTGATGCAAAAATCCTCAATAAATTATGAGCAAACCAAATTTGACAACACATTAAAATGATAATTCACTATGACCAAGTAATATTTATCCCAACATGTACAAATCAATCATATCAACAGAATAAAGGACAAAAACCATATCATAATTTCAATTGATGCTGACAATGCATTTGATAAAATTCACATCCCTTCATGAAAATAAAAACACTTAAAAATCAGATGATAGAAGGAATATGCCTCAACACAGAGCCATATATGACAGTCCCACAGGTAGTATCATACTGAATGCAGAAAAGCTGAAAGTCTTTCCTCTAAGATCTGGAACAAGACAACAATGCCAACTTTCACCACTGTTATTCAACATCGTATTAGAAGTGCTCTCTAGAGCAATCAGACAATAAAGAATATGCAAATTAGAAAGGAAGAAGTCAAATTATCCTTGTTTGCAGATAATATGATTTTATACTTGTAAAAACCTAAAGCCTCCACCAAAAAAAAGCTATTATAATTGATAAATTCAGTAAAGTTATAGGATACAAAATCAGCATACAAAAATCACTAGCATTTATGTATGCCAAGAGTGAACAATCTGAAAAAGAAATAAAAATACTAATCCCACATATAGTAGCCACAAATAAAATACTTATGAATAAACTTAACCAAAGAAGTGGAAGATCTCTATAAAGTATAGATCAGACTATTGATTAAAGAAATTGAGGACGTCCAATATGGAAAAATATTGCATGTCCATGGATTGGAAGAATTAATATTTTTAAAATGTACTACACAAGCAATCTTTAGATTCAACATGATTCCTATAAAATACCAATGATATTCACAGAAACAGAAAAAATAATCCTAAAATTTTTATGGAACCATAAAATAGCAAGAATAGCTAAAGTCATCCTAGGCAAAAAGAACAAAACTGGAGGAATCACATTACCTGATTTCAAATTACACTACAGAGCTATAGTAACCAAGACAATATAGTACTGTCATAAAAACAGACACATAGACCAATGGGACAGAATAGAGAACCCAGAAACAAATCCATATGTCTACAGTGAACTCATTATTATCAAAGGTGCCGATAATATACAATGGGGAGAAGACAGTCTTTTCAATAAATGGTGATGGGAAAACTGGATATTCATGTGCAGAATAATAAAGCTAGACTCCTATCTCTCACCATATATTAAAATAAAATAAAAATGGATCAAATACTAAAACCTCAAACAATGAAACTACTACAAGAAAACATTCGGGGAAATCTCCAGGACATGGGAATGGACAAATATTTCTTCTTTTTTTTTTTTTTTTCCTGAGATGGAATCTCACTCTGTCAGCCAGGCTGGAGTGCAGTGGCACAACCTTGGCTTACTGCAACCTCTGCCTACTGGGTTCAAATGATTGTCCTGGCTCAGACTCCCAAGTATCTAGGATTACAGCACGCATCACTATGCCCAGCTAATTGTTTTTGGTTTTTTCAATTTTTTAGTAGAGATGGGTTTTGATCATGTTGGCCAGGCTGGTCTCAAACTCCTGACCTCAAGTGATCCACCTGCCTTGGCCTCCCAAACTGGTGAGATTATGAGCATGAGCCACCACGCCTGGCTGGGCAAATATTTCATGAGTAATACCTCATAAGCACAGGAAATCAAAGCAAAAATGGAGAAATGGGATCATATTGAGTTAAAATGTTTTTGCACAGCAAAGGAAACAATCTACAAAATTAAGAGACAAACCACAGAATGGGAGAAAATATTTGCAAATTATCCATATTAGTCCATTCTCTCATTGCTATAAATAACTACCTAAGACTGAGTAACCTGTAAAGAATAGAAGTTTAATTGACTCACAGTTCCACAGGCTATACAGGAAGCATGGCTGAGGAGGCCTCAGGAAACTTAAAATCATGGCAGAAGGCAAAGAGGAAGTAGGCAAGTCTTACATGGAGGATTTGAGACTTAAAAGGAGGAAGAGAGAGCAGCAGGAGGTGCTGCACACTTTGAAACAACTAGATCTCATGAGAACTCACTCACTATCATGGGAACAGCAAGGGAGAAATCCACCCCCATAAGCCAATCACAACCCACTAGGCCCCTCCTCCAATATTGGGAATTGTAATTTGGCATGAGATTTGGGCAGGGACACAAATCCAAACCATATCACTCTCCATGAGATAAAGGATTAACAAGACAGAGAATACATAAGGAACTTGGAAAAATCCAATAATCTGATCAAATATGGGCAAAAGATCTGAATAGACATTTTACAGAAGAAGATATACAAATGGAAACAGGTGTATGAAAAGGTGCTTAACATCATTGATCATAAGAGATCATAAGAGAAATAATGAGACATCATCTCTCCCCAGTTAAAATGGTTTTTATCCAAAATACAGGTAATAACAAATGCTGGTGAGAATGTGTAGAAAGAGGAACCATTGTACACTCTTGTTGGGAATGTAAATTAGTACAACCACTATAGAGAACAGTATGCAGGTTCTGCAAAAACCTAAAAGTAGAACTAGAATATGATCTAGCAATCCCACTGCCAGATATGTAACAAAAAGGAAGAAAATCAATATTTTAAAGACACACCTGCCCTCCCATGTTTATTGCTGCACTATTTACAATAGCCAAAATTTGGAAGGAAAACCTATTTGTTAACAGACAAATAGACAAAAAAAAAAATGTGGTATATATAGGCCAGGTGCATGGCTCATGCCTGTAATCCAAGCACTTTGGGAGGCTGAGGCGCGTGGATCACTTGAGGTTAGGAGTTCAAGACCAGCCTGGCCAACGTGGTGAAACCCCCGTCTTGACCACAGATACAAAAAATTAGCTGGGCATGGTGGTATGCGCCTGTAATCCCAGCTACTTGGGAGGCTGAGGCAAGAGAATCACTTGAACCTGGGAGGCAGAGGTTGCAGTGAGCCGAGATGGCACCATTGCACTCCAACCTGGGCAACAAGAGTGAAACTTCGTCTCAAAAGAAAAAAAAAATGTGGTATATATAAACAATAGAGTACCCTTCAGCTATAAAAAAAGAACAAGATCCTGTCATTTGTTACAGCATGGATGGAACTGAGGGACACTATGTTAACAGAAATATGCCAGGCACACAAAGACTAAGTTCAGATGTTCTCATTTGTGGGAGCTAAAATTAAAACAATTGATCTCAGGGAGATAGAGAATAGAATGCCGGTACCACAGGCTGGGAGGGGTCACTGGGGGAGGGAGAAGTGAGGATGGTTATCTCCATCCCCACCTCTATGGTATATTCTCTACTCACTTAATGTTTTAATCAAATTTTCTGTTAGTAATCATCACAGTTTACAGTGTAGAATTCTTGCACATCTTTTGTTAGATTGATTATCATTTAATCTACTGGAATTTGTCTTAGAATGTAGCTACACAGGACTCACAATTAAAAGCCTTGGGTTTTGTCCTTACTCCCCTTTCCTTGGCAGTCCTGAATTCCATTTTTTTTTTTTCTGACTAGTAACATGAGGTTTCTAAAATTTTCTTTTATTTTGGGTTTAAGTGGTTTTTACTGCTTTATTGGAGTCACTTCCAATACATAAACAGTATATTAATCAGCAATTCCCTTAAGTTAGTAAGTGTGGGCAGCATATTGTGCTCACTCTCTTTATTTCCCTTTATCCAAGGACTTGGATCCTCAAGCTGTGCCTGAGTTAGTAGCCTTAAGTCAGATTTTCTCTTCACACTGAGGCTGCCACAATCCAATTTGTAGCTTTTTCCTTAGAGTCCATTCCCCACCCTGTGAATTGGCAAAGGACTTGAGAGTAAAAATTAGCAGCAAATATGAAGGCTTATCTCAATTCTCTTCTCTCCACTCCAGGTTCTTGCATTTTCAAATTCCTTGCTATCACAGTTTCTCTTTTTTTGTGTGTTTATTTATTTTTGGCTTATCTTTTTTACCTTTTATATTTAGTTGACACATAATCATTGTACATATTTATTGGCTAGAGAGTGATGTTTTGATATACGTATACAACATGTAATGATCAAATCAGGGTCATCAGCATGTATATCAACTCAAACATTTTTCACTTCTTCATGTTATGAACATTCAAGATCTTCTCTTCTAGGCTTTTGACAATGTACGATAAAGTAAAGTTAGCCATATTCACCCTGCAGTGCTGAAGAACACCAGAATTCATTCCTCCTGTCTAGTTGTAATTTTGTATTCCTTAACCAGCCTCTCCCCATCTTCCTGTCTCCGTTACCTTTCCCATCCGCTAGGTATCTGATTCCAGCTACTACAATACAATGGGAAGCACGCTTGTATTTTCTGAAACATAACAAATTTGAATGGCAGCAGAAAATTCATATAGAATTACCTATCTTGAGCTCATGAGAAATTTTGAGATAAATATGAACAATTTATATTTGAGATTTATTTATCTGTATTTACCAGTATCTGTATTTACATCTAAACTATTGGATAATTTAGATGTAAAAGTGAAATGATGATTCTCTAAGTATATTTGAATTGCATGCAACCTATTAAGTAAATTATTTATGGTGCATAAATATTTGAGCTAGAAATGCAGATAAAACTTCTCAACACAAGGTACACAACTTATTTTCTGCCATTCTATTTAAATAAAACTTCAAATGTTCACATATAATTCATGCAATGTAACATGTATACCTATGTAACAAACCTGCACATTCTGCACATGTACCCCAGAGCTTAAAGTATAATAAAATTATTAGTGCACAATAAAAAGTGGATACTCAGTAAGTTGTGTCTAAATTAATAAATTGATGAGTGAGTAAATATCGTACCTGTCCATGCCTATATAATCAGACTTTTATCTGCTTACTTATCATTCTTGCTTCTTAATGTATTAAACTTGTCTCTGTGGACAAGCATACTATTTTTATCAGTTTCAATAATTTCATTCCAATTCATGTTCGTTTAACAAAATTATATTTTAGTTATATGAACATAGTTAACATTTGTTAGAAAACAGAAAAAGTGAAAAATTAAATGTATTTGCCTTTTCAGTCAATTTTTTTCATGTTCAAAGTTACGTGAAACTTTCCTCAATTTTTTGTTTACCTTAATTAAGAATTTTATTTTCTCATCTAAAGTTCCTTTTTCACTTAACCTTTCCCATTCACATCATAGCTGCCTCCATGAAATACCTAGGACGGTTAAATTTGGCCACAGATTCTGACTTTTCATAATTGCAATTCAGATTCCCCTGAACAGAACCCAGCTTTAATTCCACAGTGGTTCCAAACCTTTTACTTAAAACTCTAAGTATCCAGATCCAGCTCTGATTACTTCTCTAAGTAGACTATGCTAGGTGAGATGCATAAGGCCCTTAAGAGATACAAGTGTTTTCCATATTCCAAAACTGTCTTTTTTTCTAAGAGTGATTTTATTTCAGGGAGCCCCTCCACAGACTGCATGAATAACAAGTGCATAATTTTTACATTCATGAAGTATAAATCTTATGTTCTTTATAAAAACTGCAATTACAGCTTTTACAGATTTTAACATTTAGTAAAACTTCATTGGCACCATCACATGGCTTCTGACTTGATCACTAGAACTGTGTATAGTAGTGTTTACATTGTTAATTTCACTCATACTCTAATATGCCATGTTATTTTGTTATTTAAAATTATAATCTAACACACATGATGATAATTTTCAATTTCCACTCATTTAATATTATACGATATCAGAAACTTCAATATAAGTAAAATATGATTGCAAAATTTCTGATTTTACAATGCATTAATCTCACCTTTTAACTCCAAGGAAATCCAAGAAAGAAAGAAAAAAATCAGGGTAATATTGAATTTATTCTAATATTTTTTTAAAAAATGCATTTTAAAATGTTTAGTACTTCATTGGTGATAATACATTGTTTACAAGCTACTGCACAATGGACTCTAATTGCTTATCTGTATTTGAACCATGCTGCTTTGGAAAATAATTTGGCAAATATCAAGTTCTTCCTTATATTATATTTATAGGTGTGTTTATATGATTGGATGCTTTCTTTTTCTTCCTAGGGTTTAAGTCATTTTTAAACTCTGCAGGGCTAATTCAAAATTAACCAAAACATCAAAATTATACAATGTTGTTTTCATCAGAAAAACACCCACTGAAGTATAGGTTATAGAAAATACTTATTATCAGAATTGATTATCAAGCTTTAGTTAGAGGACGGATTAATGGACACAAAGACAGGCTGAACAAATCAATAATTGTCTATGAGGACTAATTAATCAGCATAGAAACAGAATGAACAAAGCAACAAGTATTTATTTTGGCCAGTTAGAAGAACAAAAACAAAAAAACCTTGATATATTTCTTGGATAAAAGATTAATAAAACACCATTTGCCCTCAGGGATTGCAATGTCTTTTAGAAATATAATCTCAGCCAAAACATACAAATTTTTGAAATGGGTTAAATTTCATAAATGTAAGTGTGAATAGGGAAATCAATGAAGATATTGTGTACTTACCTCACCATAAATATAGTAAGTTGGGGATGACGTGAAATGACCTTTTCAGAAGTGAATATTAAATAAATACAAATTCTGTAGTGTGTTTTATGTTAACATTTACAGAGTTGTTATAACTTGTCATTCAAAAGCTGCTGCTTCACGTTAGCTCCTTCACCTATTGTGATAAACCTCATTGTCATGGTTGTAATGTTTCATGTTTTCCATTTTTCATTAATATTCACTTAACTATAAACTTCACAGGGTAAGAGACTATTGCCTACCGTTGTAGTTGTAGTGCCTAACACGGTATCTGGTACAATACATATATTCTGAAAAAAATACAGAAATACAATAAATAATTAACTTAGCCACCTGCTAATGCTAATGTGCCACAGATTTGGCTGGCGATCCACGACTAAGGACTAAAGCAGGGTGAGAGAAACTGAATACTAGAAAATATCTCCTTGGCACAGTTGCCTGGGCACTAAGTCTACAGTCTGATAAATTTTGACTAATGTGTACATGTATGAAACTACCACCCCATCTTACATTTTATTTCTATCATCTATGAAAGTTTCCTTGAACCCCTTTGCAGTCAACCCTCCTTCAGATTATTATTTAATTATAGTAATGAAGAGTGCATTATAAGAATAATTCAGGGTTTAAAAGGATAGAGAGGGTGATTTTGGCAAGTCGATAGGTCATAATCTTATCATCCAGACTTGATACTCTAACCCTGTTTATTTCAAGACCAGAGCCCCCAGGAACAGTGATACTTGAATATTGGCCTAACCACAGTTCTTCCTTCAGTGATTCTTTTGTGACTGTAGAAAAAAATATTTTAACTATGCTGCATACATTACCAAAGGCCAAATTAAATATTATGTAAGTTACTAAAAATTGACCATACTTTTTTTTGCAGGATTTCATATCCCTGGGTGACTGAGGGTCAAGAACTTGCCTATAACAGATGACAGTGGCATCATAGCCAACTCCAGATTCTTAGTCAAATCACTCTAGATCATGGCATGCTAGCCAATTCTCCTACACCTTGAGACATATTAGGGAAAGCACAATAGAGTGGGGAGATATGGAAAGCATTTGATTAACAGTGGAAGGCTGAATAAAGAGGTGTTTACCTATTCTTACTACAATCAGTGACAAGAAAACAGCCATTCTTTCATGTAACTTCATCTTTTATTAACACTGGAAAAGACATCTTGCAGCAGCAATTACCATTTAACACAAAATTTTAAGGACAGCAGAAAATTTTAGGGTACAAAAGATTTCCCTTTGGATTTTATTCTTTTAGTATATGTGCTTGGAGACAACAAACTGTAAAGAGGAGTAATGTAAATCTGTCCAAACCAGAACATTTGCAGTTTTACTTTAATGCCAAAAACAGTGCCTTTGTTCAATGACACCTGAACATCAGTTTATGTAAAGGCTTAGCAGGTGGATTAGCAGATGGTAGTCAGAATTCCCAAGTTTACCACTAATATTCATTACTTCATCAAAACCAAGATGAAAAAAAAAAACTATTTAAAAGACAAGGCTAAGCATATATCAAGTCCTATTATGTAGACTAGTGAGCTAAATTTTGCATTCTACAGTGATTATCTGGGGGAAATTAAGGCATTAACTAAAGACATTGATAAATATTTCTATCAATTTGCTCAGACAAAAATGTTTTTTAAACTACAGACTATAGCATAATTATTCAAAATAAACAGTAATTAACTGAACTAAATCAAGCAACACAAGGGTTTGCAAATTTGCCCTGTGGTTTACCAGCTGTGCTTTTTACTGTCTGCACTGTGAATTTACACTCATGCTTCGAGTTCTCAAGAGGTGGTAGAAAATTGAAGTGTGTTTTAGAAGCATATTAAGCAAGGGTAAAGTTACTAATTTAGTCTGTCTAAGTCATCTAGCAATGAGAGATTTACTTTTTTAAAAATCAGTATGAAGCAAGTTTAACGAGCCTTTATTGAATACCTACTATACGCTGAGAGCTATGTGAAACCTAGAGATAAGAACTTAAGTAAGACATGTAGAGTGCAAATAGAATAAAAATGGAGATAGAATAAAAATTTTGATGCGTGATTTATATACAGGTCAATGAGTTATGACATCAGAGAAATGAGCAGAATTCCTCTTCAGTGCTACATTAAACACTGCTTTGGGAATCAGAAACTCTGTTTACTACCTCCATTTTGGCCATGGATTCATAGTCCTTCGTCGGTAATGAGAAACATTTATTCCAGAGACTGATAATGTTGGGAGAATTTTCTCTTATTTGATTCTTCTTATCATTAGAAACTGGCCTTACCAACCCTGCTGCCAAGAGTCCTTGTCAATGTCAAAGCTGGAATTATAACGGGTAATTTGCCTAGCACATCACAGCCTATGCTAAGCTCTTAGATTTTTATTTGTAACCACAATCCATCCATGTTTTACCTTTGATGAAAGTGGCCAAATTTTATCATAACAGAATGAAAAATAGTCATTTTATATAACAGCTCTAAAATAATAATCTATTTGCCTATCTAGACATATTCGCTTATTCATAGAGTTGTGTTTTCTTTACGATTCCAGGAGCATAAGTCTTTAGTGTTTTAAGTATAAAATAAAATTTATCAAGCACTTTGTAAGCTCTAGGCACTCACTAGGCTCTTGGGAAATAACATTAAGAGAACGAAGTCCTGTACTCCAGTTTCCGCAAGATTCAGCTTTATAAATGGTTCAGCTTGACAAACCTGTTATTACGTGATCATCCAGTTACTGAACAAGTATTCAATGTCAACCTAAAACACACTAATAAAAACTGAGAAAACATGTTCCAGCATTTAAAAATTATACTTTGGAAAGAAAAAGGTAACATGTGAAAGTACCCTCTACTCATTGTTTATTGTATGTAATACATTGAACTAATAGCATTAATTCATTTAATTTTCACAACACCCTGTGAGGTAGGTACTATTTTTTACTATTCTTATTCCATTCTTATTTTATATTGATATCTATGTTTTAGGTAGAATATTAATGATATGTGAAGGGGAAAGAATTGTCAAATGTCACACAGCCACTAAGGGTTACATAGGGACTTGGACCTTGTATGGGGAAAGCCGGTGGAGAACGAAGGGTAAGCATGATACGCAGATGATCTCAGGCCCAGGCTGTGGTTCAAATAAGGCAGATCATTCGAGTGGAATTCCTTTGGCCAGGAAGGATAAAAGGGCAGGCGGTCTTAGTACAGGGGCTCAGATGACATATTTTGACAACAACAACAACAACAACAACAACAAAAAGGTTCTTGATGTGGCTTTGAATTCCATATCTCTTTGAAAGAATCTGAAATAAACAATCAATGAGACTTTCTAAGAGCTGCTGGAATCCAGAACTGATAATGAGACCAGTGAGAGCCACCATCTTTTCCTGTTTCCTCCACCATAACCATTATGCCATCATAACCATTGATCCAATAATATGACAACCAGTGGAGCAAAATTTTACCCAAACATAGAAGGATGTATTGAAGAACTGGGAAGCTACAATTATCACCTCACAAAGTCTAGTAAGAAGGAAAATTCCAGAAATATTGGCAAGTCTACAGTATACACTGTTTCTTTTCAAATGTTTATTTGATCACGGTAAATCACATGTTGTTCACTAACGTTTTAGTATAAGTAAAAAAAAAAAAAGGGCCAGATGCAGTTGCTCACGCCTGTAATCCCAGCACTTTGGGAGGCCGAGGCGGGCGGATCACGAGGTCAGGAGATCGAGACCATCCTGGCTAACACGGTGAAAACCCATCTCTACTAAAAATACAAAAAATTGGCCGGGCGTGGTGGCGGGCGCCTGTAGTCCCAGCTACTCGGGAGGCTGAGGCAGGAGAATGGCGTGAACCCGGGAGGCGGAGCTTGCAGTGAGCCGAGATCGCGCCACTGCACTCCAGCCTGGGCGACAGAGCGAGACTCCGTCTCAAAAACAAAAACAAAAACAAAAACAAAAACAAAAAAAAAGGATTTTTAAAATTATATTTACAGTGACACTGATTAATGAATTATGATTTTATTAGGACCTGTATACAATTTATTAGACACATTAAATTACTTATTTCTTATACAGTGGCACATATTTGAGTTTCAGACCCAAAGTTAAGTTTCACAAATGTTACCTCAGCTACAATGAACTTCCAATATTATATTTCCAGTAATTTTATACAGTGGGTATGCACATGCTACAGTGTGTAAAAATGTGCCTATTTTGTGAGTGGAAATAGAGCTGTTTCTGTTTATCCCTAAAAATCTAAATCGCTTGTGGCTTTATGTTAATTCTGATATGTTAGTTTAGTAATAAATTCATGTAAATAATTTAATAGATTATCTTGTTTGCTAATGCTATCAGTTTTTCCTCCACATAAAAATAACAAACATGCAGTTTGAAATTTAAGAACTTAGCTTATGGGTGAAAAATGTCTTAGGGGCTCAGTCTCGTCGTGGGGGAGGAGGCACACTTTCCTGAGTTTTACCTCCAGGAGCCCTACAAGGTTCTTACTGTGAAGATCTGAGGAAAAAGCCTTCTTGCTTCTGGCAGAGAAAGAAGAAAAAAAGCAACTATATCAAAATGTCTTAGGAGCACTCTGTTCTCCTTAACAAGGCCTGACCTCAAGGCAAACTATTAAACTATTTTGCCAGAACTAACCTATTGAGATTTTATCAAAATCTAATTGACCTGAAGGAAGTGAAAAATACTCAGCTCTGGCTCACTAAAAGACGGAGACCTAGTCATAAGGCTCTAGAAAGCTCCCACAAGCCCCATACGCTACCATCACATCAATAGTGGTCCTGTATAATAAAAAGGAGATTACAGCTAACAAACACTGAAAGCCTTTGACACTATTTAAGTAGGTTCTAGGAACATCCAAAGATAATAGGTCAGACAAAAACAGGGGCACCAGAAGGAGTCTTAGCCAGTGAAACCATAACTATAGCAAATAGTAAACACATATCAACTCCTATCAAGAGAAACATAAAGCCTCAGTTTCTTTTAACTGATAAATCATGTATGTCTTTTAACAAAAAATTACAAGGCATGCTAAACAGGCAAAAACAAACAACCAAAACCACAAAGGGACAAAGTAAACATCATAACCAGACTCAGATATGGCAGAGAATTCAGAATTATAAGACTAAGAATTTAAAAGGATTAAATGGTAATAGCAGACAACATGCAATAGCAGATGGATAATATAAGCACAGTGAAGGGAACTCTAAGAAAGAATGAAAGAAATGCTAGAAATGAAAAACTCTGTAAAAGAAATGAAGATTTCCTTTAATAGGCTCATCGGAAGACTGAACAAAACCAAGGAAATAATCAGCAAGCCTGAAGATATGTCGATTTAATCTTCCAGACTAAAATGAAAAGATTTTAAAAAATATAAAATCCAAAGCTGTGGGACAATTACAAAAGATGTGGCATATGTATAATGGAAAAACAAGGAGAAAAATGAGAGAAAGAAGCAGATGAGGCCGGGCACGGTGGCTCATGCCTGTAATGCCAGCATTTTGGGAGGCCGAGGCAGGCAGATCACGAGGTCAGTAGATCAACATCATCCTGGCTAACACGGTGAAACCCCGTCTCCACTAAAAACACAAAAAATTAGCTGGGTGTGGTGGCGGGCACCTGTAGTCCCAGGTAGTTGGGAGGCTGAGGCATAAGAATGGTGTGAACCCAGGAGGCAGAGGTTGCAGGGAGCCGAGTCCAGCCTGGGTGACAGAGTGAGACTCGTCTCGAAAAAAAAAAAAGAAGCAGAAGAAATAATTATAGTAATAATTATTGCGAATTTTCTAAAGTTAATGGCAGACACCAAACCACAGATCCAGGCATATAAGAGAAAAGCAAATAAGATAAACATCAAGATTCTTCACCTAGGCATATCATTCATAATAAAACTTCAGAAAATCAAGGAGAAAGAGGACATATTGGAAGAAGCCAGGAAGAAGGGGGAAGCATGTATCTATAGAAGAACAAAGATAAGAATTACATTGAACCTTCACTCAGAAACCATGCAGGCAAAAAGAGAGTGGAGTAAAATATTCAAAATGTTAAAAGACAGAAAGAAAAACCCACCAATGTAGAATTCCATCCCTAGAGAAATTATCCTTCAAACATTAAGGAAAAATAAAAAAATTCTTAAACAAAAATACAAAGAATTTGTTGCTAGTAGGTCTACCTCATAAGAATGTTAAAGAAGTTATTCAGAATAAAGAAAAATCATACAGATAATAAATTCAGGCCTACATATAGAAAGGAAGAATGCGGGAGAAGAAATAAAAGTTAAATAAAAACTATTAATAACAGCAACACTGTATTTGTTGGTTCTAGCTCATGGATAAGCTAACTAACTGATAATGATGTTATAAGTAACAGGAGAAAGGACATGAGAAGGTACTTCTACTACCTGTGAAGCAGTAGAGTGTTATTGCAATGGGGACTTGAATTACTTATAAATGTAAATTGCAAAACCTAGGGAAACCATTTTTTTTAAAGAACTATAATTGATAGACTAATAGAGGAGAAAATTGAATTATATAAAAATATCAGTTAAAATAAAGGGAAGGCACAAAAAATCGGAAGACAAAAAAGTAACAAGGGAAATATGTAGAATACAGTTACAAACATGGTAGGTAGAAATAAAATTATTAATAATCACTTTAAATATGAATATTCTAAATCCAACAATTAAAAGCCAGAGACTCTGAGACTTGAAAAAATTAATAAATAAAATAAATCCATTTTAAGTAAAATGACACATAGAGATTAGAAGTAAGCAACGGGGAAAGATATACCAGGCTGGAGTAGCTATATTACTTTCACACTAAACAGACTTAAAAATTAGAAGATATAAAGAGCAGCACTACATGATAAAAGGGTGAAATTTCTAAGAAGACACAACAGTCCTTTATATATATGTACCTAGCAGCAGTGTCAAATATGTGAGGCAAAAACTGACAGAACTCCAAGGAAAAATAGATAAACCCCCTATGTTACAGACTTCAATGCACCTCTGTAATGGAAAGATACAGCAGGCAGAAAATATGTAAAATAGTGGTTGAACTAAATAACAGCATCTAACAGACATTTGTAGAACAGCAGAATATGCGATCTTCTCAAGCTCACATGAAACACTCACCAAGACACATCACATTGCAGGCCATAAAACTGACCTTAACGAATCAAAAAAAGAAAAAAATCAGACATCATGAAAAGTATGCTCTCAGACCACAATGTAATTAAAATAAAAGTCAATAAAAAAGGATAACTGGAAAATCTCCAAATATTTGGAGTTATTGGAGACTCCTAACTAACATATAGATCAATAAGAAATTTTAAGGTAAACCTAAAAATATTTTGGGCTAAATGGAAACAAAAATTTAACCAATCAATATATGTTCAAAGCATGGAATACAGTACATACAGCAAAATTGGAAGTATGTCTATAAAGACCTAAAATTAATAATCTATTCTTCAGCCCCCCAAAACTGGAAACAGAAGAGAAAATTAAGCCTGAAGTAAGCAGAAGAAAATGAATAATAAAATTCACAACAGAAATCAATTTAATTGAAACCAGGAAAACAAAAACAGGGAAGATCAAAGAAACCAAAAGCTAGCTTGAAGATTTATAAAGTCCTACTCAGACTAACCAAGATGAAACAGAGAACGTGCAAATTACTAATATCAGAAATAAAAGAGGGGCCATCACTATTGATCCCATAGACATTAACTGTATAGCTAAGAAATACTATGCACAACTCTGCCCACAAATTTGGTAACTTAGATAAAATGGACCATTTTCCTGAAGGACACAATTGACCAAAACTCACCCAAGGAAAAATAAATATCTGTGTAGTTTTTAAATAAATTGAATAAAAAACTAATAACTTTCCAAAATGGAAGGTACAGAATGCCCAGATGTTTTTACTGGTGAATTCTACTAAATAGTTAAGGTAGAAATGATGCCATTTTTCTACAATTCATTTTTGAAAATTGAAGAAATATTTTCTAATCATTCTGTGAAGTCATGAGGTCAGTATCCCAGTAAAACCAAAACCAGACAATGATGTTACGAAAAAGAAAACTACAGATCAATATCTGTCTTGTAGATATGTGCGAAATCCTCAATGAGATATGAGCACATCAAATAGAAAAATGTATAACAATAATTATACACCTGTGGCCAGGTAGAACCTATCCCAGGCATGCAAAGATGCTTTGTCATTCAGAAAACAATTTGTGGAATACATCAATCACATCAACAAACTGAAGAAAAAAAAAGGGGGATTATATCAATAGATGCAGAAAAGCATGTGACAAAATCTGTCATCTATTTATGATAAAAGTGCTCAGCTGGTGCTAAGTGTTGATGGAAACTTTTTCAACTTGGTAAAAAACTTTTATTTAAAAAAAAACTACACCTAGGATCATACTAATGGATTAAGTGTGAGAAACTAGATGCTTTCTCCCTAAGAAACAAATCAAGGATTTCCCCTCTCACCATTCCTATGCAACATCAAACCAGAAGTTCTAGCTAATGAAATAAGAGAAGAAAAAAACTAGTTTGACCATTGTGGAAGACAGTTGGTGATTCCTCAAGGATCTAGAACTAGAAATACCATTTGACCCAGCCATCCCATTACTGGGTATATACCCAAAGGATTATAAATCATGCTGCTATAAAGACACATGCACATGTATGTTTATTGCAGCACTATTCACGATAGCAGACTTGGAACCAACCCAAATGTCCATCAATGATAGACTGGATTAAGAAAATGTGGCACATATACACCATAGAATACTATGCGGCCATAAAAAAGGATGAGTTCATGTCCTTTGTAGGGACATGGATGAAACTGGAAACCATCATTCTCAGCAAACTATTGCAAGGACAAAAAACCAAACACCACATGTTCTCACTCATAGGTGGGAATTGAACAAGGAGAACACTTGGACACAGGAAGGGGAACATCACACACTAGGGCCTGTTGTGGGGTTCGGGGAGGGAGGAGGGATAGCATTAGGAGATATACCTAATGTAAATGATGAGTTACTGGGTGCAGCACACAAACATGTCACATGTGTACATATGTAACAAGCCTGCACGTTGTGCACATGTACCCTAAAACTTAAAGTGTAATAAAAAAAAAAATGTAGGCAATAGCCCAGGCCATCACAGTGAGACCTTGTCTCTACAAAAAATTCTTCTAAAAACCCGGGTGTGGTGGTGTGCACCTGTGTTCTTAGCTGCTTGGGATGTTGAGGTAGGAGGATTGCTTGGGCCCAGCAGCTAGAGGCTGCGGTGAGCCATGATCGTGCCACTGCACTTTAGCTTGGGTGAGAGGGTGAGACCTTGTCTCAAAATAAATAAAAAGAAAAAGAAAAATTGAAATGCAGGAGAGCAAACATAATTTTCTTTTTTTTTTGAGATGGAGTCTCGCTCTTGTTGCCCAGGCTGGAGGGCAGTGGTGTGATCTTGGCTCACCGCAGCCTCCACCTCCTGGGTTCAAGCGATTCTCCTGCCTCAGCCTCCAGAGTAACTGGGATTATGGGCATGAGAAACCACACCCGGCTAATTTTTGTATTTTTACTAGAGATGGGGTTTCTCCATGTTGGTCAGGCTTGTTCTCAAACTCCCGACCTCAGGTGATCCGCCCACCTCGGCCTCCCAAAGTGCTGGGATTACAGGCGTGAGCCACCTTGCCCGGCACCTTAAGCCTCCGCACCCGGCCCATAAAAATTTTGATATTCAGCATGATTTGAAGAATTAAGAGATTTGGCCATAGTGGGCCCATTATATCTCCATAGCCACATGAGCTGAGACTGAGTAGGACTGTTTCATGTAGAAGTACTACCATCTCTCGGCATCACTACAGTTGCCACTCCTTTCTGTCGTCTGTCTGGTCCCTCTATAATCTCGGATCTAAGGTGATGCCATTTGGGCTTTTCAGTTATGACAGGTATGGTTAGTTAGGATGCCCAACTATATTTACTGTCTCCTCTTAGATAACTTAAAAGTGGTACTCCCCACCCCCACATCTACCTCATCTCACTCATATCCCACCACTGATTGATTATCGTCCACCCAAGAGATTCCAAGAGGGCATTCCAAAGGGGACACAGGTATTAGATGCAAAAAAGAGATCCTTCATCAAATAAGTTTAAGAAATGTAGGGTTAAACAATGATAAACATGTTTCCTTGACACAGAATTTCTCAGAGCCTTTAATATTCTGATGTAGTAGGCAACATTTTCCAACACCCAACTTTTGTTTGGAGAGCATTTTCAACAAGCCATATTCAGTGAAACTTTAACCCGAGCAAGCAAGAAAAAAAAAAAATTATGCTGTTGATCAT